>NC_000007.14:144003834-144155349 GCF_000001405.40 Homo sapiens | reverse complement strand
AATTATTTCTTTTACAATGATGGATGTAATTTAATTCATGTTTATTATTGACATTATTTTTTATGTTCTTGAAAGTGGGATGGATTTAACAATATAAATATTTTGGAAAATATTGTATATCACTTTGGAGAATACCAGGCATAGGTAAATGTAAATTATGAGGCAGGCATATATGAAGCTAGAAATTGAATCTGGATTATTCAAAAATACTAGTGTTGTTACTGTGCTTATCAACTACCTCAATGTATAATCCACAGGGGTGGCTCAGAGAGCAGCAGAGACACAGGGCTCCTCAAGTTGGGGGATTCTTTTGTTTGTCTACAACCAGCTACCATAGAAAGGAAGGTGATAGCCTGTTTCCTTACATTTCATTGAAAGTCTATGTAATCAGCCTATAAAGAGAGTCTTCTAGGGAATGAGAGTAGATTCTTATAAGGAAGCTCTTCAGACACCTGTTAAGTGTATACAGGTTTGTCAGTAAAAACTGTGAAAAGAGTTATATTCCTATTTTGAAGATATGTTGCATGCTCAAGATAAAATTAAAAAGGAAGAGGCATTTGATACCAAATGTCATCTATTTGAGCTGATATGCCTTCTATACTCAGTTATAAAAGTCTTATGGATGGGTTATAAGTATTAAACATCTTTATGGCCCTGATAATAACTAAAATAGTATTAGATGAAACAGGAAAATAGAAAATGCTAGTTAAACATATTGTTATATTTAGTTGAAAAATACATATACTAATGTCTTCTATTTGTCAGTTTCTATCAATTACCAAGACATGATTTTAACTTTACTAGGAAACGTTCACAGTTATAAGTTAATCATTTGAAAATGGATTTATTAAAATGTCATGAATAATCCACATAATTTGATAGACATTATTTCTATAGGATATACTTGAATAAGCTTAAACAAATGAACTGTATTATATCTGTAGGGAAAACAGGTAATACATAAATGGTTAATGTCTTATACCTGCTTTGAATGTTGCATATAAGAAGACAGTTTCAGGATAATTGCTTTATTGGAAACTTAGTTTATAAGAAAGTAAAATAAAGTAAAAAGGGACCTTGAAGACCTTGAAGGCTATGTTGTGAACTTTTGCAAAATATCAGCCTTAGAGAGGCATATATTTTATGGCAGTGGCATCTTAAGAGCAATGGCTCAAACTCAAATGAGAGACAGTCTTAGATCTATAAATATGAATATATTTTGGGAGGTTTATATAAATGTGCATGAAGTTCATAACATGAATTTTTGCTACAACTAAAGAAAATTCCTGTAATATAAAAATGGATGTAGTAACATCTTAACTTTTTAGTTTAATTATTTTTTTCTCTGAATTATTAAATCCTTTATCTCCATTGCCATCTGGAGATATTTCACTGTTAAAAAATAAACATGAAAATAATAGTGAAGAAAGAGCAAAACTTTTTAGAAGGTGCAGCATTGAAATATAGGAGAAAAACTTAAGGTACCTAAATAAATTTTTTCCTTCCAAATAGAGCCAATAAAATAGTAGAAATGCAGAAAACAATAGTATGAAGGATCAGTATGTAAAATACTCTCCCGGGACAGTCCTGTAACTGAGCTGTAACTGTGCTTTATCTTATTTCTTCAACTCTGATCAGAAGAATTGGCACTCTTTCTGCTCTATTTTGTGGTAGGATGAATCCCATATCACATACAGTAATTTTTGAGTCGAATAATTTTTGACAGTGAGAGTAATAGTTTAGAAAATTTCAAAAAGAAGTAACTATATTACAAACTTACCTCTTACACTGTTTCTGCAAGGGAAAGAATTTACTGCAGCTGCTACCAGAATTTTATTTTCTAGTAACAGAAGTTTCTTCGAATATCTTCATCTGTGATAGATTACATATGTATATAATCTATATAATAAATATATATTATGTATATGTAGTTCTCTCTCTCTGTCTGCCTGTCTAGTTAATCTATCATCTATCTATCTATCTATCTATCTATCTATCTATCTATCTATCTATCTATCTATCATCTATCTATCTCATCTATCTAAGATCCTTTCATCCTTTTGGCTTATCCAAAATATCCTTATCCAGAGGCATTGCCTGCATTTGAAGCTCTCTTACTTTTAGTTGCCTTCTCAATTAATAGAGTTGGGCCAATTTAGATGACCACCATCCCTCCGCACTGGGAGTTGATGGAGAGAAAGTTGCTAAGCAATCAGAAGGCTCCTGGCCATAACACAGCAGGCAGAACCTCCCAGAGCTGGGTGGGAGTGGGGTGCATCTATATTTCTATTTCATCTACCTGGTACACAAACTTTAAGTTAGGAAGAACTTAGGATATGCCACCCAGGAGTGTCATTCCTCTCTGCATAGCCATGAGGATTTTTGCTGCCACTCTGTCCTACTTTAGCAGTACTGAAAACCATCTCACAGTGCAAATAAATCTCTTCTGCATAAGAAGGTGTAAGCACTAGATATTCCTCAGGGGTAAACTTTGAACTAGAATAAACACTACATAGATGAGTTATGTGCTATAAGAAACTCTAGCTGACTCCAGAGGAACAAATCCCAGATTTGGCAGCATATACTCCACTTGCTGATGCTATCAAAATAGAGTAAGAAGCTCTAAACTAAACCTCAAGGAATAAGGGTTTTATTTAGAATTAGCTAAGAAGTAAATTCCCAGAAGGATTATGAGACCTCATATCTTTCTACCTTCTCCCTAAGGGGAAAATAATTGTTCCCTGACTCTTCTCTCTGGAGGAGAGCAAAGATTGTGTCTGATTGTCCTTGGAGGAAAATTGTAGGAAAAAGGAAGGACACATCTTGGCATCACACAGTATGCATACAGATTTTCAAATATCTCAAGAGTAAATAACTTGAGAGAAATATCACAAATTATAGTATCCAAACACATAAAATTGCTACAGTTTTATGAATTCACACACCTCTTTAGTTCTCATGAAGGTGTAAGAGAGGTTGTGACTTGGTTCCCATAGAACTTGTTATGGCTACCCTAAAAAGGAATTGATCTCCCAATGCCAAAGTGTATCTCTGTCTGAAATGGAATATGTATATGCTCACAACGAGGAAGGGAAATAATAGCCATAAACAACAGTTACTGAGCCCTTATTAAGTTTCAAAAAACAAAGTTTTTCTAATAAGAATTTAAGATATCATTAGTTTTTCCCACTCTTGTTCTCTTGTGAAGGTGTAACAGGGTATTCCAAATGTTATGTGATGTTTGAAATTATGAAAAATCAGATGCAGCAGAAAACTTACAAATCCAGTCATTTTGTAAAACAGACAAAGAATTTTATAAAAATGTGAAACAATGCTATCTTTTCAGTTTATTTGGCTTTATAAAAGCTATTTTTAATAAATGTTATATATATTATCATATAATGGGATTATTTTTAATGAATAAAAACCAAATACTTTAAAATGATGTTTTAATTTGTAATATAATAATAATTATCAACGAATACCCACATAAAATCTCTTTGAGTCCTTGGGAATTTTTAAAAGCGTAAAGCCATCTTATAACCAAACAATTAAAAAGAATCAATGCAGGCTGGGTGCAGTGGCATGTCTTCAATTTGTTTAATCAATGTTTTATCGTTTTCAATGTACAGGCCTATCATCTCCTTTGCTGAAGTTCTTTCTAAATATGTTATTTTATAACCTATTGTTAGTAGGATTATTTTCTTGATTTCTTTTTCAGATAGTTTGCTGCTAGTGTATGGAATTACTACTGATTTTTGTATGTGATTTTGTACCCTACAACTTTACTAAATTCATTTATTAGTTCCAACAGTTGTTTGGTGAAAACTTTAGGGATTTTTAAATATATAAGATCATGCCATCCACAAACAGGGACAATTTAACCCCTTCCTTTTCGACTTGAATGCATTTTATTTCTTTTTATTGACTAATTTATGTGGCTAGTACTTTCAGTACAATTTTCACTAGAAGTGGAAAGTGTGGGAATCCTTGTCATGTTCTAGATCTTAGAGGAAAAACTTCCAATTTTTTTCCATTGAGTACAATGTTATCTGTGGGTTTGTCATACATGGCCTTTATTGGGTTGAGATATATTCCTTCTATTCCTAATCTGTTGAGAGATCTTTTTTAAAAATTATGAATGGATACTGAATTTTGTCAAATGCTTTTTCTGCATGTATTGAAATGATCATTTGGTTTTTGTCCTTCATTCTGTTAATGTTGATTCGCATATGTTGAACCATCCTTGCTTTCCTGGGCTGATTCCCACTTGATCATGGTGAAAAATCCTTTTAATGTGTTGTTAAATTTGGTTTGCTAGTATTTTGTTCAGAATGTTTACATTATGCTCATCAGGTGTATTAAACTGTAGTTTTCTTTTCTTGCCACATCCTTGTCTAGTTTTGGTATCAGGGTAATGCTGGCCTTAAAGAATGAGTTTGGAAGTATTTCTTCCTCTTTAATTTTTTGGAAGAGTTTTTACTAGTTCTTCTTTAAATATTTGGTAAAACTCAGCAGTGAAGCTATCAGGTCCTGGGCTATTCTTTGAAGAGAGATTTTTTATTGTGGAATCAATCTCTTTACCCGATCATGATCTTTTCAGATTTTTTATTTCTTCATAATTCAATCTTGGTAAATAAAACGTATCAATAAATTTGTCAATTTCTTCTAGATTATCCAATTTTTTGGTGCATAATTGTTTATAATTGTTTCTTATGATCATTGTAAGGTCTCCTTTTTCAATTCTGATTTTCTTTATCTCAGTCTTCTCTCCTTTTTTAAGACTAGCTAATAGTTTGTTGATTTTGTTTAACGTTTCAAAAAGAAGACTTTTTTGATGCTTTTATTGTTGTTAGTTTTCATTTATTTCTGCTCTGATCGTTATTATTTTATTTATTCTACTAATTTGGGGCTTAGTTTAGTCTTGTTTTTCTAGTTCCTTAAGGCACAACAGAGATTGTTGGTATGCAATATTTCTTCTTTTTTGATGTAAGCATTTATTGCTTTAAACTTCCCTCTTAGAACTGTTTTTTCTGTATCCCATGTGTTTTGGTATGGTGTGCTTCTGTTTTCATTTGGCTAAAAAGATTTTAAACATCTTTCTTTATTTCTTCATTGACCCATTGGTTGTCAGGGAGCATATTATTTAATTTCCATGTATTTTTTCTGAAGTTCCTTCTGTTATTCATTTCTATTTTGATACCATCATGGTCAGAAGAGCTCCTTGATACTTCAATCTTCTTAAATTTATTATGAATTGTTTTGTGCTTTAACATATGATTTATTCTAGACATTGACATTGTTTCATGTGCAGTTAAGAAGAATGTGTATTCTGCAGCTGTTTATGGAAGGTCTGTATATGTGTGTTAGGTCCATTTGGTCTGGAGTATAGTTTAACATTTTCTTCCTGGATAATCTGTCCATTGCTAAAAGTGGGGTATTGAAGTCCTCTACTATTATTGTATTGAAGTCTTCTCTCTTCTTGGATCTATTAATATTTGCTTTCTATGTTTAGGTGATCCTGTGCTTGATATATACATATATATATATAGATATACACATATATATATATACACACACACACACATATATATATCAGGTATATATATATACACACACACACACACAAACATATATATATATATATATATATATATATAGATAGATAGATAGATAGATAGATCGATCGATCAAGAAAGAAACTGTAAAAAAATAAAGAGAAATTCTGGCACCAAAAACCACATTGACAAAAATGAGCAACTCTACAGAGATCTTCAACAGCACATTCCATCAGAGTATTGTTATACCCTCTTGCTGAATTAACCCCTTTATTATTTATGTAATGACTTTCTTTGTTTCTTTCTACAGTTTTTGACTTAAAGTCTATTTTATCTGGTATGAGTATAGCTACTCTTACTCTCCTTTGGTTTTCATTTGCATGGAAAATCTTTTTTCATAACTTCACTTTCAGTCTATATGTGTCCTTACACATGAAGTGACTCTCTTATAGGCAGCATCAAGCTGGGCCTTGCTTTTAATGCATTCAGCCACTCTGCCTTTTGATTGGAGAATTTAATTCATTTACATTCAAGGTGATGATTTATAAAGTAAGGACTTACTACTGCCGTTTTGTTAATTGTTTTCTGGTTGTTTTATTTATACTTTGTTTCTCTCTTCCTCTCTTATTGCCTTCCTTTGTGGTTAAGTGATTTTCCCTAATAGTATGTTTTGATTCCTTGTTTTTCACTTTTTTAAAGCATCTATTATAGATTTTTGATTTGTGGTTACTATAACACTTATAAAAAGTGTCTTGTGGTTATAACAGTTTATTTGAAGCTGATAACAACTTATCTTTGGCCACAAAAAGCACTACATTTTAAATTTATTTATTTATTCTTCATTTTTTTGTTCCACAGATTTCTGAGAAAGCACTACATTTTTATTCTACTCCCTTCCACCACACATTTTGAATATTTGATGTCACCATTTACATCTTTTTATGTTACGTATCCCTTAAAAATTATTGTAGTAATTTTTAATAGTTTATAATTTAACCTTTATACTATACATATAAGTAATTAACACACCACCATTATGGTTTTAGAGTATTCTGAATTAGACTGTGTACTTCTTTTACCATTAAGTTATCTCCTTTCATGTTTCATGTTGCCAATTAGGGTCCTTTTCTTTTAGGTAGAAGAACTCCCTTCAGCTGTTATTGTAAGGCAGGTGCAGTGGTGGTAAATTGCCTTAGCTTTTGTTTGTCTGGGACAGTCTTTATCTCTCCTTCATTTCTGAAGGACAGCTTTGTCATTCGAGTATTCTTGGTTGTCAGTCTTTGTTTTCCTCTTTGGCACTTTGAGTAAATCAACCACTCTCTCGGCCTGTAAGATTTCTGCTGAGAAATCTTTTGAGAGCCATATTGGTGCTCCCTTGTATGTGATATGCTTCTTTTCTCTTTCTGGATCATGTCTTTGTCTTTGATTTTTGTCAGTTTGATTATAATATGTCTTGGTGTAGTCTCATTTAGATTAAACCTGACTGGAAACCTTGGAGCTTTCTGTACCTGGATATTTATATCTTTTCCCATATTTGGGATGTTTTCTATCATTTTAAAAAGCTTCTTTTTTTCCTTCTATTTCTCTGCTCTCTCTGGGACATTCATTATGCCTAAATTGGTTCTTGATGGTATCCTACAGTTTTTGCAGGCTTTCTTCACTCTTTTTCATTCTTTCACTCTTTTTCATTCTTTCCCCCACCTTTGACTGAGTAATTTGAAATGACCTGTTTTGGAGTTCACCAAGTATTTCCCATTTGATCGAGTCTGCTGCTGAAACTCTCTATGGAGTTGTTCATTTCTGTTATTGTGCTGTTTAGTGCCAGAGTTTCTCTTCGATTCATTTTATGGTTTCCTTCTCTTATTGAACTTCTAATTTTGTTCAGGTATTGTTTTCCTAATTGTATCTGTTTGTCTATTTACATTCTCTTGTAGCTCACTGAGCTTCTTTAAGATGATTATTTTGAATTATTTGTCAGGCAGTTTGTAAATCTCCATTTTTGTAAGGTCAGTTGTTGGTGCTTCATTTGTTGCTTTGGTGTTGCCATGTTTTGTGATTGTTCATGATCCTTATGGCCATGCATTGATGTCTGCTCACTTTAAGAAGCAGAGACTTATTCCAGTCTTTGCAGACTGGAGTTGTCTAGATAAGCCCTTCACATGTCAACTTGTCCAATCATTTTAGGCAGGCCATCTGGCATGGTCTGTAGGTGGGCCTGTTGAAGTCCTTGGTCAAGCTGGCCTAGTGCCTAGGTCAGTAGGTGAGTCAGCCAGGTACCTGGGTCTATGAGGTTGGGCCCAGTTCCTGGAACCTGGGTCTGGCCTGGAACCTGGGTCCACAGAGGCTAGCTTGGTGCTGGGGTCTGCTGGAACTGGCCTAGACCCTGAGTTGGCTGGTGCAGGCCTAAACCCTGGGTCTGCTGGAGTCTGAGGCTCCAGGGCCTGGCCTGGCACTGAGGCATGCCTGAAGGCTGGGGTTATGAGGGGAACCCTTACTCTAGGCCAGTAGAGAGTTTGGGGCAGGACTGAAACGTGGGGCTGTGGAGGCCAGCCCAGTCCCATAGGTGGTCAGGAGGCCAAAGCTGCTGGGATAGCCTGGCATTGGGGTGGGCTGTCCTAGTGCTGGAGTGAGACTGGAGACTGAGTCTGCATGTGCCGCCTGAATTCTGGAGCCATGGGGCCAGCCAGGAGCCTGAATCTGTGGGGACCTATTTGGCAGTGGCAGATAGGCTGAATCTGTGGGTAACAGCTCAGAGACTGTGGTTGTGAAAGTCTGCCTGGTGCAGACCCACTGTTGGCATCTAGGCTGGCCCAGCGTTGGAGTCTGAGACAAAATCTGTTATTTACTTCCCTCTTTTTCCTCTATGCAGAGGGTATCTCTCTCTGCATTGTTCTGCCTGGAGTAGGGAGGGTTGATGCAGGTATTGTGAAACTGCCCTTCCTACTCTTTACAATGAATGTTTTCTTATTTCTGTGCTACACACAGTTGCTGTAATCACTCACCTTGTTTCTTTAGCTCCTGTGAAAATATGTTTGTGCATGGATACTTGTTCAAATTGATGGTTCTGAGAGGGGACAAGTATGGGAAAGTCTTATTCTACCATCTTGCTGATGTCACTCTAAGCCAAAAACCTGCACAATTGTTTTCCAATTCATAGTTCATGGAATGTATTTTTATTTACTTAAAATTTTAATTTCAGTCAACAATATTTTATGCTTTTAGTATGTAAGTCTTTCTTTTTTTGTTAGATGTATTCTTAGGCATTTTATTTTCTCAGTCTTGCAAATTGGATTCTTTTCTTCAGTTTATTTAGGATTGTTCATTGCTTGTATATGAGAGTTAAGACAGACTAGAGAGAGGTGAGCCTCCAGGTGTTGGAGTAGACAATTAAAACAACAGGCCAAAATGAAAGTAACACTTATGCCTTTAATCACTTTGTGTGATACTATAAGCAAGAGGCCAAGAAGAAGTAAGTGCTGGCCTGCCCAATTTTCATTTTCTCTGATGAAATAATATCAGTTGAGGATCAAATGGATCAGTACTGATGTGGGAAATAATCTCATTGTTGAGGGAGCTAGGGCTAAGATGCAAATGTGAGTGAGCATTTTAGTGTACAATTAAAGGACAGGCTTAAGCAGCTAATGTGATGGGACAAAATAACTTCAGCTTAGACTACATACCTCAGGTGAGGTCTGTGGTTTCAATGAAGTAATTCCCTGAAAGAGCACTTCTCATTGTGCTCTGTGTTTGATCAGGCTGTCTACCGCCTCATTCAATTGTAGACTTCTTTTGTATTTACTGATAATTGACACTTTGACCTTTATAAGGGACCTTGAAAGCATCTTCCATCTCTTTCAATATCTTTATAAAAACACAAATATATGGATGATTAAACAGTAATCAAACAGCAATGGATGGGAGGTTATGTAAACACATTTTGTTTCTTTAGAAGATTAGGAATTTTACTGACCAAAACCTAAATGTAATGTCTTTCTGATTACATAAAAATTTTTTTGTAGAAAAATGGCTTAATCTTTGATTTTAGGGTGCCATCAACACCGATGACAGTACAGTTTTTGGAGGATAAGAACCCAGAGTGGCCATTTAGGACAGAGTAACTGGCCCCCATATCAATTAAGAAATTAATATTCTTACCTGTCATGTTAACAATCAGTCAAGACTCCTTACTATGCCTTTTGTGGGAGTCGCTAGGAACCTCTGGACCCTCCAGTCCTCAGTTATGGCCGCCAGTCCTCAGTTAGGGCCATTATGGCATAAAGTGTCTTCTTCCTTCACAGCTCAGGACAATCCCTTTTCCAATGACCCGCCTGCCTGCAGTGAGAACAGGGTTGGGTGGGCTGCCCTGACTGGGATAGTTCTTGCTCTAATGTCCTGGCTTCCCACACTTAAAGTAGCAGCCATTACCTGCAGGTTTGCTATTAGGCTTTTTTGATCTGTGGGTGAAGCATCCCCCTGGGTGACCCTGAGGTTGCAGGGCGCTGCTTACAGAGACTGCTATCAATCGGGCTTGTTGTCTATCCCATCATTTGCCATGCTGGATTCTTTCAGCCTCTTCAGCCCTATCCCTATTATTGAATACCCTGAAAGCCACATCAAACAGTTGATCAATAGGTCTTTGGAAATATAGTTTTCATTTCCTGTGATGTCTTTGATTTTTTGGTATCAAGTGATACTGGCCTCATAGAATAAGTTGAGAAATGTTCCATTTTCTCCTATTTTGAGAGATTTTTATGAAGAAATAGTATTAGTCTTTTAAAATTAAGTATAATTTGCCACTACAGCAATGTGATTGATGGCCTTATTTGGTGTAAGTTCTAAAATTACTAATTCAACTTCTTCACTTAT
The DNA here is from genome assembly GCF_000001405.40 of Homo sapiens. NCBI lineage: Eukaryota > Metazoa > Chordata > Mammalia > Primates > Hominidae > Homo > Homo sapiens. The sequence goes on along the minus strand of NC_000007.14, from coordinate 144,144,925 downwards.
TACAAGTCTACTCAGATTATCTATTTAGTTTTGAGTGAGTTGGGTTGGACAAGCTTGGCCTAGATCTTATGAGGAAAAGGGGAGACCCTGAAGACACCTTTTCTCCACTCTGACTCAGTATTTAGTATGTTTCTACTCCCCTTCTCTCTCCCTCTTCTCTCCTCTCTTGTATTCTCAGGCTCATAAAATATTAGGACCTTTTGCTTGGGGATCCTTCAGCTGTGAGATGATCCCTACTTCTGTATCGATCCACCTGACCTTTGCACAGTGCAGTTCCACAGGGATAAATGAAACAGTGTGGGAGTTGGAACTTACTCTAGTTCAACCTCTTGCTTATGCGATCACAGTAAATGATTAAACACTTGACCGTTGCTTTTATTTTGGCTGGTTGCTTAGCTTGGTTACTCAGACACTTGGAAACTCAGCTGTCTCAAGCTCAGCTTCTTGACAGAAATACAATTGATATTTGAGTACAAAACTTTTATTCTGCAGCATTGTTGAATTTATTTGTTTGAGCTGATTTTAAAAAATTCCTTAGAATTTTCTATTCACAAGATCATTTCACCTTATGCCTTTCCAATCTGGATGCCTTTTATTTCTTTTTCTTGTTTAATTGCTCTGGCTAGAACTTCCAGTCTAATGCTGAACAGAAGCAGCAACAAAAGACTTCCTTGATCATGTTTCTTATGGGGAAAGCATCCCAGTCTTTAACAGTTAATTGTAATTTTAGTTGTGGTTTTCTTATCTACCCTTTATCAGTTTGAAGAAATTCCCTTGTATTTCTAGTCTGGTGTGTGTGTGTGTGTGTGTGTGTGTGTGTGAGTGTGTGTGTCAGGAAAGGATTTTGGAATTGTCAAATGCCTTTAGTATGTATAATTAGATGTGTTTTCTTTTCTTTATTTTATTAACATGGTCTATTACATTGAGTTTTGAATGTTTAAACAACCTTGCATTCTTTGAATAAACCTCACTTGGTAATTATGCTTGCTGCATTTGGTTTGCTGGTATTCGTTGAATAATTTTGCATCTATATTCATAAAGAAATTGGTCTATAGTTTTTATTTCCTGTGATGCCTTTGATTTTTTTGATATCAGGTGATATTGGCCTCATAGAATAAGATGGGAAATGTTCCATTTTCTTCTATTTTGAGAGATTTTTATGAAGAAATAGTAGTAATTATTCTTTTAAAAATTAAATAGTATTTGTTACTACAGCAATGTGATTGGCAACTTTATTTGGTGTTAGTTTTAAAATTACTGATTCAACTTCTTTACTTACTAGAAGTGTATTCAGATTATCTATTTATTTTTGAGTGAGTTGGTAGATTGTGACTTTCTTGAAATTTCTCCTTTTAAGTAAGTTTCTAACTGTTCACACAGAGTTGTTCACAGTGTTCTTTGATAATCCTTTCTGTACCTGTAAGATTGTTAATGATGTTTTCTATATCCCTAATTTTAGTAATTTTAGTCTTTCACTGTTTTGTTGGTAAATGTAGCTAAAGTTTGTCAATTTTGTTAACCTTTTCAAAGAAGCACTTTTGTTTTCACTGATTTTACTTATTCTTTTTCATTTCTCTATTTTATTTATACACATTTTAATCTATATCTATTTATGCTTGCTTTGGGTTTTGTTTGCTTTTCTTTCAAAATGGGAGATTTGCAATAAAATGCTGAGAAAATGATGCAAATTCCAAAGGAAAATAGCTTTTCCATCTCTTCCACTCTGCAAATAGAAGTGACTCTCAACACTAAAATTTAATCCAGAAACTGGGTTCATACTCCATAGAGTTTTCAGTGGGAAAGGTAGTGTAAAATATAATGTGCTGTTTTTTTCACTGTAATCTTGTCGTATTTTCAGAGCCAGAATTCGAAAAATTCCCATATTTATATCAAACTTCTAACTGAAAAAAATTTATCAGTTTTTGCTTTAGCAAACCACTTGTTTAAAAGCAAAGTCCTATCCAACTAACACTCTGTCCACTCCTTACATAGACAGCGTCCTCTGCAGTGCTCTGTGGAGGGCGCCCTTCACCTGAGCATTCCTCAGACTGTAGATCAGGGGGTTCAGAATTGGGTTCAAGACACTGTGAAACAGGGACAGCATTTTCTCCTGCTCCTCTCGTTGATTAGAGTCTGGGACTATGTAAACCACCATGGCTATGCCAAAGAAGAGTCCAACCACACACAGGTGGGAGGAGCAGGTCGAGAAGGCCTTTATGCGGCCTTCCTTTGTCTGGATCTTTAGGATGGCCCAGAGGATGTGCATGTAGGAGACAAGCATCAAACAAAGAGGTCCAACTAAGACAAACACACAGGTAGCAAATATGACCACTTGGTTAACCCAGGTGTCAGAACAGGCCAGCTTGAGGACAGACAGAATTTCACAGAAGAGGTGGTTCACATCCCGGGGCCCACAGAACGGCAACCTTAGAAGAAGAATTGCATGTACCAGGGACAGGGCAAACCCACATGACCAGGATGTGAGAGCCAGGATCGTGCACACTCTCCAGCTCATGATGACAGTGTACTGGAGAGGGTGGCAAATGGCCACATACCTATCATAGGACATCACCACCAAAATCAGACACTCTGTAGCAGCAAAAGAGAAATGCAAATAGGTCTGCATTATGCATGGAAGAAAGGAGATGGTTCTTTTCTTGTTCATCAGATTTGCCAACATCTTGGGAACATTGTTGGAAGCATAGGACATGTCAATGATGGCCAGGTGTGAGAGGAAGAAGTACATGGGGGTAGGCAGAATGTGGTCCAGACAGATGAGTCCCAAGATCATGCCATTTGCCAGCAGGCTGAAGATGTATAACAGGGAGAAGATCTAAAAGAGGAGCACTTCCATCTCGGCACTGAGCTGGAATCCCACCAGGATGAATTCTGTGACCCATGATTGGTTGACTCCCATTCCTTAATGGAAGTCTGTCAAGGACTGAAGTGTGATAGAAAGGTCAGAAAATTTGAGTTTTTATCTGAAAATGAGCTAAGATAAAGGCTATATATGTTTGTTCCTATTAGATAAGCCCCTTCAAATTCCCAAGATTTATTACCTTTCTGTTTTTAGCATTTAATTATGAAATAAATTTAAACTTAAAAATAGTGTCACAAATTTTTCAAAGAACTCCCACTTAATTTCATACAGATTCAGCAAATATTAACATTTATTATTTGTCTTATTCTCTTTCTCTATGTAATTTTTATTTTTTGAACCAGTTGAGATTAAAGTGTAGACATAATACCAATTTAATTTTAAATTTCTGATCTTTTAGTAAGAAAAAACTAATTCCCACTAGCTTGACCATAATATAAGTATTAAAATCAGAAAATTTAATATTGACATTGACATGTTTAATATTGATATTGATATTGATATTGACATGTTTCTTTTCTCTAATATACAATATTCTCCCTCCAACCACACCAGTCTAGGACCTAACCCAAGATTATGCATTATATCTAAAGTCATCTGTCTTTAGTCTCCTGTACCTGTAATATTTACTCAGCCTTTTTGTGCCTTTCTGAACACTGATATTTTGAAGAGTTCTTTAGCATAATGTCCAACAAATTGAGAGTGTACAATATTCCTCAATGTTTTTGTTCAAATTATTCACTTTCTGCAGGAAAAATAGTATTCTCGTCTGTGTGTTCTGAGAAAGTATATGATATTAATTTGTCCTGTTATTGGGGTGAAGCTAACTTGGATCACTTGGTGAAGATGGTGCTTCCCAGATATCTCCATTATGTGATTTTTTTTTCCCTAATTAGTTTCTGGAGTACCCATTAAAATTATTATATATGTAGCTTGTTCCTCATAATGTCACTTCACTAGTTCCTTTCAGTCACTAGTTTTAGCATCTATTGATTATCTTGCCTAACTCAGTTATTAATAATGATTCAAAATGTGTTGTTCTGACTCTATAATTGCTTTTACATTTATTAGTTGGCAACTTTAGTATAAAAAATTCTTCATTCACTTACCTATCTATTATCTATCTGCTCTCTATCTGTTATCTATCATCTGTTATCTATCTGCTATCTGTCATCTATCTATCCATCAGTATAGACTCATGGATTTTTTTATTCAGTGGGTTGCTTCATTGTTGTCATTTTTTGGTGCTTAATTTTCCTATATCTAGGCCTTCTAAGCATGCTCCTCTGTCTTTTTAACATGTTCCCATAATATTTGAGCAGTTATTTCCTTCTGATATGACCAGATGTTTCAAGCTCCCTTTGTATACTCCCCACTTCAATCACAAAACAGCCATTTCCCCCAAAAGTTATAATCACTTTTAATAAAGAATTATATTTATAAGCCGATATTTATATTCATCTGGGTTTTATTGGATTTTTAATAATTTATATTTTATCATGATAATTTGTATTTTATCATGATTTTTATCATGAGGATAGCATGAATTTCTGGTATTCTACATTAAAAACAAGAGCATATAATTTGAGAAAGCATACAAATTATTATGGGGATAATACATTCTCAAGATTCTTCTGAAAATAATATAACTTAACTGACTTCCTTTATGGTGTTAGCATTGAAGAAAATGGTTTTGATATTTATTATTTTATTTTTGGTGAAAAATACATGTTTGTAATTCTACTACCTTATTAACCATCAGGTTTTATATTATTTTCCTGCTTTTATTCTTATTTAGAAATTTTAGAATCTTGAATATTTTAGATTTTGTGTGAACCCTTGTGTAAACAATGTGATACCTACTTTGTATGAGATTTTGACTTGAAGTTTTAAAAACCTAGAAAAACGTGAAACTCTAGTTAAAGGACTAAAGAGATGACATGTTGAAACATACAAACAAAAGTGATCATTTTAAATAATTGTGCAGTTATACTTTTCTACTGTTTATTTCATATATATCATTATTATAAAAATTATATGAAAAATGCTATTTGTTTAACTAGCTCTATCATATATCATGAACCATTTCCCATGTCAAAATATTTCTCTGAAACATAGTTTGAACAGCTATTATTCAATACAAATATTCTAATGGACTTAATGTATTATCTCATCATTAGATTGTGTGCTATATAATGCTTCAGTAATTAAATTATATATGTATATGTTTGTATTTGTTGTCTTTTTTCATGACATTTTTAATAGTAAATTCTGAGACTTAGAAGTGCTCAGTCAAGTCAATCAATTTATGTATTTATATATCTCTGTGTACTCATCTAAAAATCAAACAAGCAAAAATCCCAAATATATTAAGGTGTATCACTGTAAGATGCCTCCTAGTGGAAGAGGATGTCTAATTTATCAATCATGATGCTGTAATCTCAAATTAACCTTCTGCTACTCCCCAGGTTCCATGCGGTCCCATGTGAAAGAACCATCTTAACATTGCACTTCAGATTTCCCACCTAGACATCTTTCTACATATATTATTAAGCACAACAAATACAGATTTCTCATGTTTTATCTAATCTAGTGTTTCCTTCTCAATTTCAGTTTCTGCCTTGAGGGGAAGTCCTGCTTCATAGGTGAATGACATTGAGAATGAGTTAACACTTCATATATATTAAATAAAAGATAATATCTTTACTCACACAGAAATGACAAGTTAAAAAATAATTTAAAATAATCAATAACATAGCACTTAAAATGTTGTATAAATATAATTTCATTTTATCACACATGGCAAATGGCAAGGTTTCTATAAAGCAGACACACTCCCAGATAGTTATAAATCTCTTTCTATGATGGATATATTTTCAGTTTATACTTGTTACTGACTTTATTTTTTAGTGCATAAGAATGTAAGATGGATTCAGTAATAAAATTTTGAGAATTTTGACTATCCGTTTGGAGGATTTGAGGCATAGGTAAATGTAAATTCTCAGGCAGGCCTATATTTAAGTTGCAAAAGTCATATGAATCTTTCAAAAATACTAATGTCATTACTATGCTTATCCACTAGCCTCATTGTATAAGTGTGAAGGGGAATTGTAGTGGAATCATAGCCTCTTCTTGGAAGGATTTTCTTGCATGTTTACAACCAGTTACTATAAAAAGAAAGGAAGCAGCCTGCTTGAACTTGTCTAGGCCCCATTGAAAACCTACTTGATAGACGGCCTATAAAGAGAGTCTTTTCTATTCTAGCAAATTAGAGTAGAGGCACAAGGGTAGGCTCTTTAGGCACATATTAAAGGTATAGGCTTGGTCAATCATTACAGTTAAAAGAGTTATGTCCTCACTATGACGATATAGACAATTCTCAAGGTAAAATCAAAGATGAAGGGGCAAGGATATCAAATGTCATTTATTTGAATGGAGATATGCCTTCACCAGATAATGAATGGTAATATATCTTATACTTCTTCATCTCTTGTAATAAGTAGTATACTTGTAGATAAAAGTAGACACTCAGAAAATGCTTATTACTTAGGTGAATGACATTTTTAGTTAGTTATAGATTTAGTTATTTACGTATATGTATATTAAATATACTCTGTAACTATATGTATAAAATATATGGGATATATATAGTAAATGTATATAATATATATTTTTGTCTATTGGCCAGGACATGATTTATACTTTTTAAAAAAAGTATAATACTTAGATGAATGACATTTTTACTTATAGATTTAGTTATTCATGTATATGTATATTAAATATACTCTATAAACTATACATATATAACATATAGAATATATATGGTAAATATATATAATATATATTTTTGTCTATTGGCCAGGACATGATTTATACTTTTTAGAAAAAGTGTAAAAATAATTTATACTTTTTTAAAAAAGTGTAAAAATAATTTATACTTTTTTAAAAAAGTGTAAAAATAATTTATACTTTTTAAAAAAACATTACAGCTACAATTTGATTATTTGAAATGTCAAAATAATTAAAAACAGTATTTGCAAAGGATACATTCAAATTAGCATAATGGTAGGGACTATATTGCGTCTGTAGATAAAATGGCCCCACTTAAATGTACTGTATGTGTAGTGGATTGAATGGTGACCCCCAAAAGATATAGCCCTATCCTAATCCTCAGCACCTGTGAATATTGCCTTATTTTGAAAGAGGGTCTTTGCAGGTGTGATTAAGAATCTTAAGATAATCCTGAATTTTATGGATGAGCCCTAATTCCAATGACAACATTTCTTATGCAATAAAGGCAGAAGGAGATTTGAAACAAACTGCTGAAGGCACACAGAGGCAAGGTGATGCAACGACAGAGCAGACAGAGATGTGGCCAGACACTGAGGAATGCTGGAAGAGGGATGAAATATGTTCTCCTTTAGGTTTCCCAAAGGGAGCAAAATTTTACTAGATTCCAGATCTGTGAGAGAATGAATTTCTATTGTTTTATTCAACCACATTTGTGGTAATTTGTTACACAAGCTGTAAAAAACAAATATAGTATCATATACCTGCTTTGAATCAATGCTTGAGGACAATTTTAGAGTAATGGATTTTTGAAGCAAGTACTTCATATGGAGGTAAAATAACCTGAGAGGTAAGCTTGAAGATACATGTGTGAGCATTGTGAACTTTTGCAAACTAAGCCTAAGAGGGATCAGTCACATGGGCAGTGTTTCTTTGAGATCAATAACTCAATAAAACAGAAAGGCAAAATCACAAATTCTTAAATTTCTATAAATACATTGTATTTGAAGAGGGTTCTATATAAATATGCATTAAATTATTTTGTTACAATAAGATATATTCCTATAGTACGCCAAGTGGGGATAGTAACATCATATTGCAAAATCTTTATTAAACAGAGTTGGACATAATACTCATGTCTGAAACATATTTAATTTCTGAATATAAAGGATAACAATATTATTGAAGATAATTCAATCTATTGTTACCCAGTAGGAACATTCGTTTCTTGATATTTTAGTCTAGTTATTTTTTCTGGATTATAAATCTTTTTATTGTCATTACCCTTACCATTTGCTGTTGAAAAACAGACAAAATTAAAAAAAATAAAATTGCAGGCAGATTAACATCTTTAAGTGGCTAACACACTGGAATGGAGAACAAAATATCACAGTGATGATGCCTAAAATTTCACCTTTCCAATAGAATAAATAAAACAATAGCAGATCAGAAAATAAAAGGTTTTCTTGATCAGTATGAGCTATTTTCCACCCAGGCAGTCCTGCAACCCAGAATGTTTCTTCAGCTAGAGTGCTTTATTCTATTTCTCCAACTCTTAGTAGTAGTGATAGCCTGGGATAGTTCCCCCAAAGACATAATTCTATGACAGACTTACCTTTTAAACTCTTTCAGATAGAAAAAGATGTAATGTAACTGTGATAGATTTTTCGTTTCCATTGAGAAAGGTTTTCCTGGCCATGTATATCTTTATTTAGGCTGGGTAATGTATAGAGTCCTTGCATTAATTTGGCTATTTCAAAGCCTTATTCAGAGACCTGGATACAAAGCCCCTCCTTCTCTGAGCTCCTTCTCATTGAGACAATGGGGCTAGCTCTGACCTCCACCATCAAGGGACATTGGCAGGTGATGGTGCGAGAGATGCTGGGGGAGCCTTGGGACCCCTGTTCACAGCAGAGCAGGAAGACGTTCCCTGGGAGGAGGAGAGGGACATTGGTGTGTATTCCAACTACCTGCAATCTACACTTTGATTCAGGAGGGAAAGTCACCCAGGGATGTTGTTCTTCCAGCATAGCCATGGTGATTTCTGCAGTCATCCAGCTCTAGTTCAACTACCTATACAGGAAAACACCTCCCAGCAGAAATGAATGTCTTCTATATAAGGAGATGTTAGCACTAGACTTTTCCTCAGGATAATATTTTGACCTAGAATAAACCCTACAGAGATGAGACACATACCGCTAAAATGAATATAGACTCCTACTCCCTCTGGAAGCCTTCATAGGATTAAATCCCAGATACAGACAGATTCACTGGACTCACTGAAGTTTCTTTAGCTAACTCCAGGAGCATAGCTTTTATTTTAGAATCAGATGAATAAAAACATTCTTGAGTTTCTATTGAGAATTAAATTCCCAGGAGGATAATAATATATACTTATTTGTCTTCTCTCTAAGGAGTATAGGGAAGATCTCCGGATCTTCTCTCTGGAGGAGAACAAAGATTTTCTGATTGTCCTTACAGGAAAATTATCAGGACCAGGCAGGGCAGATGATGGCATCACACTATTTCTGCACAAGCTTTCACAGATCTCAAGGGTCATAAACATGAGGCAGACATCACAAATTACAATATCCAAACTCTTAAAATGATTATGGTTTTATTACTTTATACTTCCCTACAATCTCCATGAAGGTATAAGAGAGGCCGTGACTTTCAGATAGTTGAGAGGTGGTTTTCATGGAACCTGGTATGGGGACTCTGAGAAGGAACAGATCTCTCAATGCCAACATAAATTTCTATTTCCTGTAGGAAGTGATAGATACAAATGAAAAAGGATTAAAATAGACATAAGTATCAATTATTGAGCCCTTTTTGTGTTTCAGAAAATGTGACACATTTTCTGCTTTATATGGACTATATATTTTAATCTGATCATTATCCTCATTTTACATATATGAAGACTGACATTTTGATATGCTGTCTGCTATTCTTTAAGTGTGGTTGAGGGACTCTGAAAATTTCTGACAAGCTTTCAAAGAGTCTGTGGGATAAAAACTATTTTCACAATACTATTTAGATAGTTTTAATATTTTTTTACCCTCGTTCTCTCACGAGTGCACACTGAATTTTTTCAGAGGCTAGCTGATATGGCAACAGATAGAATGAAGGAAACGTAAAATGCAGCTTTCTATTAAGCTGAATATTTTAAGAATTGCAAAAATGTAAAATAAAGTTACTTTTTATAAAATATATTATTTATAAGAATATCTTATCAAGAATATCATATTAACCTATATTGGAAGCCATTTAAATTAATTAAAAGTAAATAATAAATTTGTCAGTTTTGATTTCTATTATAACATCAACAAATATACTTACATAAATGAAATATCTTCAGACCCTCAGTAATTTTTAAGAATTTAAAAGTGTTCTGAGACCAAAGAGCTAGAGAATTATTGCGCTAAATTATGGATCACCAATCTAGCAAGGACTAGAGCTGGAAACAAATGATCTTTATTTAATACCAAAAGTGTATTCACCATTCACGTTCTATTGCAGTTGCAACAAATTAACAAAAACTTAATGGCTTAAAACAGCACATATCTATTATCTCACAGTTTCCATTGATCAGAAGTCCTGGTGGTCAGCTGGATTCTCTTTAAAACAAAATCAAGATTTTAGCTTGGTCTGCAATTCTCATCTGAGACTTGAGATCCTCTTTCAAGTTTAATGGTTGTTGGAAAAATTAGATTCCTTGTGGTTGTAGGGTTGAAATCTCTGTCCATTTGTCACTGCTGTTTTCTGTCCTCTGGGATCTGGGATGGCCTGAGCTGCCTGCTGCCACTCTGGTGCCTACATGGGACCACCTCCGTGTTTAAATCAGCAATGTTTGTTGAGTGCTTCACACACTTCAAATCTCTCTGACTTCCTCCTCTGTTACTAGGTGAAAAAAATTCCCAGCCTTTAGAAGACTCACCTGATTGTTACCATGGTAACCTTCACATTTTAGGACCCATTGATCTACAAAGCCCCTTCACAGCAGAACCTAGATTAGTGTTTGATTAAATAACAAAAGTCTAAGGGGGGCCATTTAGAGAATTCTGCCTATCCCATAAAGCCATTTCATCTTAACCACTGAGCATTGTTTTCATTTTTTGATCCTATATTTTTTCCTTGAACACATGCTGTTCTATCAATGCTATCTTTATTATAGGCCTCAAGCTATTGCTTCAGATTTCCCACCCAAAATAACATGGCCCTGAATCCAAATTCCAAAGGGAAAAATTTCCATTTCTGTGTCTTACTCTAAGTGATATGATTAGAGTATTTTAAAGTTTTATATGAGTTTATATAAATTTAACTGAGTTAACCCTTTCTTGTACAGTTCACTCACCAGGCACTTGGCTTAGGCTCTTTTACCAGAATGATCACACTTTTCAGAGTATCTATATTTAGAAAAGCATTTATATAACAGATACAGCAATAGTGTCAGCATAAATATGTCTAATATCTGTGAGTCACTGTGGGGTAGGGAAAGACCTAAGAAAACAGCTAATCCATCCTATAAAGTCGTGACATACACATACATTTTCATGTTTTCGCACTAATCTGATTACCGGCTTCCCCCTTTATTTGCACCCTGTGATAACCTTATACAGAACAATTTAGCGTAGATATTAGCTGATGGTTAGTTATATTAAGTTCTTCTACAGGCCATCCTTTTCCATTGGTATCAGGAAGTTTTAACCTGATTTTGCAATATATTTCATCATCAGTTTCAATATTAACACGAGTTATTTACATAAAATAGTTGAATATTACCAACAATGCCAATGTTATACCATACTGCAGTGTGATCATGGTATAAGCAGTTTCATTCCAGAACAAATCAGTAAGAATTAGAGAAGTATTTACTATCCCTTTCTAACAGCTGTGGCCCATGCTCGTACACCATATTATTACTGACAAGTATCGTTACAATTAGCCATGATTTGGTTATTTCCGGGTTCCAACTCTGTTGGGGACAAATTCAGTTACCCTATCTAGGTTTAAAAGCTTTCCACTGAAACTAGTTTCTATTGTGTGCTGCTATATAGCGGGACCCACCTCTGTCCTCAGGTGAGGGCACGGTGTTTTCAGAATAGTTCCCAGAACTCCTAATTGTACTACAGGTTATATCTTACTCAGATCTACTCTTGGGATGAAGGCAGTCATAGTCCATCAGTGAAAATTATCAGTGCCTCAGAGAACTTCGATAAGTTATAAGGTCTACAAGGTTCCCTTCAGTGATCCCCTTGTGCCTATTCAAGTAGAATGGAAGGCCATTGCCCCAGGGCTGCTTTTGCTTCTGTCTGCATCACAACAGCCAATAGGGACAGTGCACAGTGGCTCACGCCTGTAATCCCTGCACTTTGGGAGGCTGAGGCGGGTGGATCAATTTAGTTCAGGAGTTTGAGACTAGCCTCGGCAACATGGTGAAACCCCGCCTCTACTAAAAATATAAAAATTAGCTGAGCATGGTGGTGCTTGCCTGTAGTCCCATCTGCTTGGGAGGCTGAGGCAGGAGAATTACTTGAACCTGTGAGGCAGAGGTTGCAGTGAGCCAACTTCACACCACTGTAGTCCAGCCTTGATGGGTGACAGAGCAACCCTGTCTCAACAAACAAACAAACAACACACACACACACAAACAAACCAAACCAAAACAAACAAACAAAAAAACCAACCAACCAACCAACCGACAAGCAACAAAAAAATCAGCCAATAAGTCCTGTTGGGTCAGGGCACAAACCCCTCCTCTAACACTGAGTCCTAGCAGTATCCTGCGTTATTTGCTGAGTCTGCATGACCCATTCCACCTGAACTTCATTACGTTTCTATGTTGAGTTCACTCCTTTGCCTTCCTCATGGAAGAGAATTCCCTCTTTTTTGCTTATTCTAGTTAACATTTCTCCCCCTCTTAAAGTGAATTCAGCTTGTCCCAGGATGCCTAGGTAGGCATCTATTTCCCCTAAAAGCTTTTCTTATCTTGTGGGACAGTCACCATTCTTTTTGTTGTCAAATCAAATGTCACAGAGAATTCTATCAGTGAAATATTTTGTCATAATGGATGGTAGACACTGAGAGGAAAATCGTATGCTATTGTGCGAGGGCTAGAAATGGGCAGGTTGATTTTAAAATTGGCTGAGGAGCACCAAGAAAAAAAAATGGAAACAATAATACATTAGTATACAACACTTTACATTTCAGGAATAAAAAGGAAGCAAGATAGGTTAATACTTTCTGAGATTAGTGAAAGTAAGATAACTTGTGCTCTGAATATCAGAGTAGTGTTCAGCTTTAGAAATCCCTGCCGTATCAGTCTAGTGATTCCCTTCTTTACATAGTAAAGATTTCTACAGCATAAGATCTCCAGGCCGGGCTCAGTGGCTCACGCTTGTAATCCTAGCACTTTGGGAGGCTGGGGCGGGCAGATCATGAGGTCGGGAGATGGAGACCATCTCGGCCAACATGGTGAAACCCCGTCTCTAGTAAAAATACAAAAATTAGCTGGGTGTGGTGGTGGGCACCTGTAATCCCAGCTATTCGGGAGGCTGAGGCAGGAGAATCACTTGAACCTGGGAGGCAGAGGTTGCAGTGAGCCAAGATCGTGCCACTGCACTCCAGCCTGGTGACAGAGCAAGACTCCATCCTAAAAAGAACTCTAACATATCCTGAGGTTTTGATATTAGTAATTTTTCCTTCTATGTTCTCTTCCAGGCAAAATTATTATCAGCTATCAGCTTAGGGTTAAGAGTTACATTTCTGGGTATTCCAGGCTAAGATGAGAGTGGCTCTCTCAAAATATAATTAAAACTAGGACTTTTTCAATATCAAGATATAAGATGCTTTTAATAAAATGGTTGCTAAATATAAAAGAAAACAATTAAAAATCTACGATCTTGTTAAATCCACTCTTAAAAATTAATCTGTACAAGATATCTCTGTGCTTGTTTTCACTGGACTGCTGTGCTCCAATTAGAATGTTGAGTTGCAAACTTTTATCCTAAGATCTCAGGCTCAAATTAGTGATGGAGTATGAGGAGCCTGCTCTTAATTCCTGTGTGATGGAGAAACCATGAATATTTACAGTCCACTGGCTATTGAGTCATGGCATATTTTAGAAAGTGTCAAAGGAGGAAAAGTCTCACTCTCAAGTAAGTACAATGTGATCACAGGAATTTGACTGCAAGACATGTCTAATCACATGCTCCCTGAGGCCCCACCCAGTGAGGGTCTCTAAAGTGGGATCAGCTGGAACTATGCTAGTTTTAAGATCTAGAACAAGGGTTCACAAACTACTGTCCCTGGGCACCATTCCAGCAGCCACCTGTTTTTACAAATAAAGTTTTATTGGAACACGGGCACACCCATTTGTTTACACATTGTCTATGGCTGCTTTTGTCAGAGTTGAGTTGTTTTGACGCAGAAGATGGCCCTCAAAGCCTTAAGCATTAACCTGTGTATCTTCACAGGAAGTGTCACTAATTATTGATCTTGAGGATGTGTACTATGCTCCTGTTAACTCAATGTGACTTGGCTACTATTGGCACAAACTCTGCTAGTATCGACCATTTCCAATATTAGAAATAGATTTCCAATAACCTCAATGATAAATAAGCCATTAAAAATTTCAGACATCTTAGTGGGTATATAATAGTATCTCATGGTGGTTTTAATTTACAATTCCTTGCTTACTAATGGTGGAAAGCAGCATTTGTATGTTTATCAGCCCCTTGTATTTTCTGTAAGAGTATATGTTCACATGTTTTGCTAATTTTATAAAATTTGGTTGTTTATATTTTTTATTGCTGATTTAAAGGAGTTCTTTCTATGTACTGTATGAACAATAGTTCCATTTCTGGGTACATGTAGTTTCCATACGATCACTTGGTTTGTGGCTTGCATTTCTTCTTTCTTAATGGTGACTTTGATGAGCACAATGATTAATGTGAAGAGGTCCTATATTTATCGAACTTAAAAATTTTATATCTAGGGACTTTTGTGTCTTCTTTATGAATTTATGCCTATCCAGTATTATAAATGCATTTACCTATCTTTTCTAAAAGATTTGTGTCTTCAGTTTATATGTATAGGTCTATAGTATTCCAGTTTAAGGTAGCATTTATTCTAGCAGAAGACAAAAAAAAAAAGCCAACTTCTATATTTTGCAGGGAGCAAGGCTCCCTCCCCATGGTTCCCTTTGAGATGTCTCACGTCAGCCTCTCCTTCCTCAGTGCCCTCCTCAGGGCGCCCTTGACCTCTGCATTCCTTAGGCTATATATCAGGGGGTTCAGCATTGGATTGAAAAGGCTGTAAAACAGGGAAAGAACTTTCTGCTGCTCCTCAGGATGGCGGGACTTGGGGGCCATGTACGTGACAATGGCGCTGCCAAAGAAGAGTCCCACCACGCAAAGGTGGGAGGAGCAGGTGGAGAAGGCCTTTCTGCGGCCCTCCCCAGACTGGATCCTCAAGATGGCGGCCAGGATGCGCAAGTAGGAGACCAGCACCAGGCAGAGTGGCCCCACCAGGATGAACACGCAGGCTGCAAAGATGACCACCTGGTTGAGCCAGGTGTCAGCACAGGCCAACTTGAGGACAGACAGGATTTCACAGAAGAAGTGGTTGATTTCATGAGGCCCGCAGAAGGGCAGGCTCAGGATGAGAACTAAAGGGACCAGAGCCAGGAGGAAGCTGAACACCCAGGAAGCCACAGCCAGGACAGTGCACACTCTCCAGCTCATGAGGCTATTGTAACGTAAGGGGTGGCAGATGTCCGCATAGCGATCATAGGACATCACCACCAAAATCAGACACTCTACGTGAGCAAAAGCCAAATACAAGAATGTCTGCATTATGCATGGAAAAAAGGAGATGGTGCTTTCCTGGTTCATAAGATTCGTCAGCATCTTGGGGACATAGTTGGAAGCATAGGATATGTCAACAATGGCCAGGTGTGAGAGGAAGAAGTACATGGGTGTGTGAAGCTTACAGTCCAGGCAGATAATCCCAAAGATGACCCCATTCCCCAGCAGGGTGAGTGTATAGAAGGCAGAGAAAAGTCCACAGAGGAGAATCTCCAGTGCTGGACCAACCTGGAATCGCGGCAAGGTGATGTCTGTGATCCATGTCTTGTTGCCTTCCATGCTCTTGTGGACATCTAGGACAGGAAGGTCAGAGCTGTGGGCCAGTCAAAGATGCACAGAGGGAGCACTTAGAAATTATAACTTTGAATGAATTTTCTAGAATTTATTCTCAGATATGTTGCCAAAACTAACCAAGTGTGCTCATAAAAATGAGAAAAAATCGCATTGTATCAATGGAATAATAAGAATACATACATGTATATGTGTATATATATTTGTGTGTGTATGTGTACATGTATATAACATTTAATAAAATATAACAAAACAGGATCTATTATAATATACCCTACATAAGGGGATACACACGCACATGTGTTATTTTGAAGAACTCAAGTATCCTTGCTTCCCTTTCAGTGTGAAATCTTGATTTTTACGTAGTTTGAGAAGAGAGGACCTTGACAAATGTTGCATTATGAGGTGGTTTCACTTGCTCATCCTGCTTCCTTCTCAGTCTGAGATGTGCAGGGACGGGGACCCTCTGTTTGCCATGGGCTTGCTCACTGTCCCTCACCTCCTCACAGGCTTTTCTACCCACTTATTTCAGATTTGAAATCACTTTTAAATAGCTTTCAATTTTGTAGTTTCTTTAAAGCTTTCTGAGATAAGACGCTCCTTTTCAGAAGCTGGCCAGTACTCCCTAGCAGCAACTTTAGGTGCCTCTTTTCCATATCTGGTGTTTGTAGTTTTATTTTGAGAGTTTTCCTTACTTCTTCATCAGCATCTGTTATTGTAAATTAGGCATGAGTGAAATAATTCTTGGCTACATACAATGAATACATGTATATATCTTTAAAATAACTAAGCATGGTGACATTTCTGAGGTCTTTTAAATAAGAAATTCAAAAGAAAAACCAATTTACATTAAGTGGTTACATTTAAAGATGATCGCTGTATCGTAATTGTATTTTATTGGACTCTTTTCTCGATTATAACTTAATATGTTGACATCTCTCAGAGCTTATCTTACTTTCCAGTGTGACAGAGTCTTTTGTCATCAATATATTCCCAGCTATGGCAACTGGGGTTGCTGTCGGTTCCCCTAACTGTATTCTTCTCCATCACCTGTGATCATGCCAGCAGCCCTGTTGCTGTTCAGATGGAATCTGAGCATGTGATGGGGATGGGATCAGGTGCAGCCCCAGCTGGTGAGCTCTTTCTAAGGAGCTCTTCCTGGAGGGTCTGGGTCTATCCAGCCAGCAGGGGGCGACCAAGGGCCATGAACAGGACGGATGGCCTCATCAGGTGGAGAAACCATGTGACCTGGTGCTGTTCTGTTAACACTTCACATTTATTCCAGAAACAGCCTGAGGACTATCTTTATTTTCAAATCAGGCTAAAGGTTCAAATCCAACAGGATACTTTTAAAAAAACAATTTTGATGTCTTTTATTTTAGTAAATACGTAGATCCTCAAATTTATATATTAAAATAGGGTATTGTACAGAGTATTTAAACATTACAATTTTTCACTTAATATAATACTTTTCCTGTATCGAAATTATATTTTATGGACATTATTTTAAAGGGGCACAATATTCTGTCACAATTTACTGAATTTCTTACTGTTTGAATTTTTGTTTATTTCTTATTTTTATTGGCATTGAGATACATTTCTCTTAAACTTAAGATTTGCCTATATTCATAATTATTTATTAGAACATATTCTAAAAGTGAAATTGCAGATGCTAAATATACAGACATTTCTAAGGTTTTTATCCCTATTTTAACTTCCATCTAGAAAATCTGACCAATTGCAATTCCCTCCCACAGTGTGTAAGAATCATGTCTCTTTGCCACATAGTCAGTACTAGGCATTACCAATTACAATCTCTGTTACTTTCATAAGCAAACAATGTTCTGTAACTTATATTTGTATTTTGTATATCCCTTAACGAATGATCCTTGAGTGCATGATCTGTTTCAGCCACTGTTCTAAGCTTTAGAGGCCCAGCTGTGGATGATGTAAACACATTCTGAAAGGGAGGCAGATTATAAAGAAGTAATATTAAGGTGATGTGCTTCTCTTCCACACCTCACATTTCTATTTAGGGAAGGAAACCTCTATGCCCCTGGATAAAATTGTTTTAGAGTATACCTGCCTCTCTCTTTCCCCTAATTTATATGATTTGTGAAACAGGAAAGAGAAACTGAGGGTGACCTTTCTCTGTTCTCTGTTTCACCTGCATGCATTTCTATCTGCTTGGGATTAAGGTATCAGGAGCATGTTCAGTCCCATTTGGAGGTGGGGAAGGGGTGTCAGCTAATGGTTGTGATTTTAATTTGGAGAGAAACTTTGTTGAAAATATAAACCATGCTTTTCAACAGACTTTATTAATAAAATACCTTTTTGAATTATATCCGATTCTTTCATGTATTATTCAACTCATTTTTTCCAGACTTGGAACAGAGAGAGGGCATGATTCATTACCACTGTAAAAGACCAGGAGTAAACAAGTAAAGATAATTGCTGGCCATGAAAAGAACAATGAAGGAAATAATCTAGGTAAAATAATAGAAAGCTACTTGATTTGAGGGGGGTCTCCTTTAGATGGGATGGTTGGAAAAGGTCTCTCTTAAGAGGAGACAGGTGAGTGGAACCTAAACCATGAAGGCCACAACCCTGCCCAGAGCCAAAAGAGGATCATTCTCTACACAGAGAACAGTAATGGAACAGTAAACGCAAAGTCTCTGAACAAGATGCACTTGGTGAGTTCTGGGAAGAGAAAGAAAGAAACACAATGTACCTGAACCATAGTGAGCAGGAGATTGTACTTATTCTTTGTAACCTTGTTTATATTTTTAACAATCTGAAATTGACATAAAAAATTCATCAGTTTAGCTGATATACTTTTGACTTTATAATAATTGATTTACTTTTAGATTCATGAAAGCAGAATACAGTTAAAAGATATGTATGTACAGAACTTCCAATGAGCACATATTTGAAATAGGAAACTGTTTAATTTTCTGCACAATATAATTTTAATGCCAGAATGGTAGTTGTCAATTTTTGGACACAGCAAATGTTGTGTTAATGTCCCAATGAATCAAGCTGAAAAGGAGAAGCCTTTTATCCCTGAGACCTCCAAGCACATGGATATTTTGCATATTTTTAGTCCCTCCTGGCTCCCATCTGTGGTGTACACATCTGTGCTCCTACTGTTCCAAGGCCCAGTGACCTAGGTAGCAGGCATTTGGATGCTTTAGGAGTAAAAAAAAAATCCAGTCATTACCAAATAAATACAATTGTTTGGTTAATCTAAATTCATAATTAAGCAAATCTGGGTTTATAGTTTTATTTGTAATTTTTGTAAAGTAAGGAATTTCGGGGAAAAAAACCCCAGCAGCCTAGAATAAACTATTTCTAAAGAGCAGGAATAAAGAAAGAAACAAATAGAATTCTTAGTGAAAGTGAAATTTAATCAGACGTGAACTACATCCAAACTGTATAAAACTCTGGTTATCAACTGTGCTTTTAACAGTTGTGTACAAGAGGCCACAAGGAGAAAAGTCTATAATGGTGGCTACCTACACACAAAAATTGTCCATCTGTTCAATTGTGAAGTTAAGTAAACAAATATACAGTATAAGAGGAAAATAGTTTTTTTCCTTTTATTTATTGGCATCCTTTTGTATTTTGGATTTCACAGTTCAAGTAGTCAGACTTTTCTTTTAGAAAAGCCTGTGGAAGTTCAATAAAGAATCAGATATCTGAAAGGAAGATTTATTTAGGCATCCACTCCAGTTACACATTACAGAACAATCTTCAGTGGATGGAGTAAGGGAAAAAACTGCATGGATACATTTTTCTGTTCTTAAAGAGCAAAGCAAATTTAGCAGTGACAGAAAAAAATATGGTCTCTGAATAAGAATGAAAGCAACAGGAGTAACAGTCTTGGCCAGAACACTATTCCAGTCTTGATTCTGAGCAATGAACATGACGCATTTGAGTCACGTATTCTAAGGCTCATTATTGTCAAATGTAAAATGTTGACCACAGATACCAAAAGGACTGATGTGAAGAAGAAATACCATCGCACTGGTACATTATAGGAATTTAATAAATGTCAGCTGTTACTAATGATATTAAAGAGATCGTAAAATTGAGGGAAGTATTAAAGCATAGGAATTGGAAATCCAGTGCAATCATCATGGTGTTGCAAACACTTTCACGTTTATCTTGCTTTTCTTTTTGGCTGTTTTTGAGTTTAAATATAAGACACACATTTTGCTTTGATTTCCTAATATAAATGTTCCTATATTTTGATTTTTAAAATTAAAAAGCAATTTAAAGAAATGGAAGACTCCTTTGAAGTAACCACACTCCCTTACTGAAGAAAAAAAAATACAGGCTGTAATAGTAAGAGGTCAATCCCACCATGCTAAATATCCCAATGATAGAGAGAGGATTAATTTTTTGGAAAGAAAAGGGGGGCGTATTTAGGGTGTTTAGCACTGACACAAAAGAAAAGTTTCTATTGAAAATTGTCTTAGAATGGGAGCCCTGGGGCCTCCAGCAGTGGGGTTGTAAGGCAGCACTGATTTGTCAAATCTTTGCAATTACTCAGAAATAACTTGCCATCTCCAATAATATACTTTGACACTGAGCTTAGTCCTAGGGAGCAGCCTAGTTTTTTTTTTTTTTTTTTTTGAGACGGAGTTTCGCTCTTGTTGCCCAGGCTGGAGTGCAATGGTGAGATCTCGGCTCACCGCAACCTCCGCCTCCCAGGTTCAAGCAATTCTCCTGCCTCAGCTCCCCAAGTAGCTGGGATTACAGGCATGCACCACCATGCCTGGCTAATTTTGTATTTTTATTAGAGATGGGGTTTCTCCGTGTTGGTCAGGCTGGTTTCAAACTCCTGACCTCAGGTGATCTGCCTGCCTTGGCCTCCCAAAGTGTTGGGATTACAGGCGTGAGCCACTGCACCCGGCCGCAGCCTAGTGTTAAAAACAAATGAACAAGCATGGATTCCTGAGCCCTGCAGCCTGGGTTCAGATCCTGGCTTTGCTGCATACTAGCTTTATGACTTCTCTGTGCCTCTTCATGCCTCAGTTTCCCAATCTACAAAATGGGGTAATAAATTCTGTCTCATAACATAGTTGTGAGGATTAAATGCATTAACTCACATAAGAACTTAGGTTTTTTAGATATATAATTAGGGATATGAGAACCATCGTTAAGGAGAATGTCTGGATCCAGTCATCATAAGGAGACATGTTCTGTGCTCAATGGTTCCTCTGCTAAAATCAGAAAAAAAAAAGAGAACCTGTACCCTGACAGGCACTGGCTTTTCCCTGTGAGTGAATGGTGCCTGTATCCAGAACAACTGAGAAGGGGATCTTGTCTGGTGACACAACGCTTCTGAGAATGTGCAGGACTAGGCAGTTAGCAGAGGGGCAAGGAGGATACATCCCTGGGTAAGCAAACCACTTACAAACTCTACTTCAGTTTTTAAAATTAGCATTATTTGTAAAAAAGAGTCACCTGAGCCGCATAGCCCCTGACAATCATTGGAGCCCTTTAGCCAGATCATACCCTATAGGGATGGTTATCTGATCCTCTTCTATGGCACAGTGATGACAAAGCCAGGAGCTGCCACAGGGTAATGAGGGGATATGGATGGAGGGGCCGAGAAGGTCAGAGGTACATGGCCATATCCTGGGATAGACGGTGGCCCCTAGAGGTCCCCTCAGGACCCTAGCTATAAATACAGACTTAGAAGCAGAAGGAGACCACATAGCACGGGCATTTCATCGCTACTATCTGGAGCCAGTGATTTCATTCACTGCCCCTTTCCCATTTCCATCTGTAAACCCTTTCTCAAGGCAAATACACCACATTTACTTACAGTACAATAATCTGTGGTCTTTTCTTCTAACATACCCTTGGGCTTGCTAGGAACCTCAAAGACAGGAAAGGCAGAATGGATAGACTGGGATTGATTCTCCTCGCTAATGAGGCCTTCTTGGGAGGTGAAGCCCAGATACAAAGCTCTCCTGAACTTTATGATACAATTAGTTGTGTAAGCCAGGCTTTTTCTACCATCATTTGACTAGACACTCACTCCCTGCAGAGAAAAATAATAATTGAGAGAACAGAACCCAGTGGTAATACTTCTAATCATATCTCTCCAGAGACAATTAAAGATATTTGCTACTTTCCTATTAGCAGGCAAACCAGTGAAGGCATTGCCCATGTTTATTCATTTTGTTCTTTCAGCATTCCCATGGGATGTGTTATGTGTGTTTACTTGGGATTGGACAGGGACAGGATTTCTGTTAAAAGACAAGACTCTTGCACAGAAGATTTAAAAACCAAGATCATGTCTTAAATTAATTTCTTTCAATACTTATTCTATCAATCTTAAAATTGTTCCACTCTCTAATTCCTAGTTTCCCTAGAGGAGAGCCAATGATCTCTTGGTCTCTGCTGGTTAGAGGTCCCTGAATTCTGTTAAAGCATCACTTCAGAAAAATAGCTTTCTCTCAATGGAGAAAACGTCATTGTAAAATAACTACTGCAAATTTCTCACAAATATTATTGACTTGGTAGTTCAGGTATACTTCATCTTCTTCCTTGAATTTCTTCAGTGTGCCTTCCATCTCAAGCATTTCTTAGCCACATATTTATTTCCTTATTGTGGGTTAGTGCCTACAGATAAAATGGCCATACTCTTTCTTTCTCTATCCTTTTTTTTTTTGCACTAAGTGATAAAGTTTGACGATTGTAAAATCCTTCCAGTTCTTACCCTCTGAGTGTCTTTTCTTAACCTAGATCTCAATAGAGGTTTAATTCTTAAATTATGGTGGAGGGAGCACTTCAAAATAATAGTAATAGATTTAACCTATCATGGAGAACAGTAAAAGATATATCCAAGAGGAGTATAATTGGAGTTATTTTTCTTTTAACATAATCTGTGTGACCAATAGAGGCTTACTCTACTTACCTCATTATTCTTCAAAGCACACACTCTACTTCATTCAAGTACTACCCCTAGCAGCTCCCAGTCTTGAAATTCTTATTCCTTATTTCAAGACAATTTTAACTGTTCTACCCACTTGACTTCATACTTAATACTGATTCTGCAAAGCACTCTTGGAGCCCTCTTCACCAATCCAACCCAAACTGGTCTCCCTTGTGAAATAGAACATAACATTTACATTTAGCATGCTTTCAGGTTGTACATAAATAGCTTTTTACTCCCAGTATTTTTATCATTAACGTTTTCTAAAAAGTTACCACAGAAAATTAATTTGATCACCAACATTTGGTGGGCTCTTTTTTGGTTCCATATGAACTTTAAAGTAGTTTTTTTCCGATTCTGTGAAGAAAGTCATTGGTAGCTTGATGGGGATGGCATTGAATCTATAAATTACCTTGGGCAGTATGGCCATTTTCACGATATTGATTCTTCCTACCCATGAGCATGGAATGTTCTTCCATTTCTTTGTATCCTCTTTAATTTCATTGAGCAGTGGTTTGTAGTTCTCCTTGAAGAGGTCCTTCACATCCCTTGTAAGTTGGATTCCTAAGTATTTTATTCTCTTTGAAGCAATTGTGAATGGCTCTCATGATTTGGCTCTCTGTTTGTCTGTTATTGGTGTATAAGAAAGCTTGTGATTTTTGTACATTGATTTTGTATCCTGAGACTTTGCTGAAGTTGCTTATCAGCTTAAGGAGATTTGGGGCTGAGACAATGGGGTTTTCTAGATATACAATCATGTCGTCTGCAAACAGGGACAATTTGACTTCCTCTTTTCCTAATTGAATACCCTTTATTTCCTTCTCCTGCCTAATTGCCCTGGCCAGAACTTTGAACACTATGTTGAATAGGAGTGGTGAGAGAGGGCATCCCTGTCTTGTGCCCGTTTTCAAAGGGAATGCTTCCAGTTTTTGCCCATTCAGTATGATATTGGCTGTGGGTTTGTCATAGATAGCTCTTATTATTTTGAAATATGTCCCATCAATACCTAATTTATTGAGAGTTTTTAGCATGAAGAGTTGTTGAATTTTGTCAAAGGCCTTTTCTGCATCTATTGAGATAATCATGTGGTTTTTGTCTTTGGTTCTGTTTATATGCTGGATTACATTTATTGATTTGCATATATTGAACCAGCCTTGCATCCCAGGGATGAAGCCCACTTGATCATGGTGGATAAGCTTTTTGATGTGCTGCTGGATTCGGTTTGCCAGTATTTTATTGAGGATTTTTGCATAAATGTTCATCAAGGATGTTGGTCTAAAATTCTCTTTTTTGGTTGTGTCTCCGCCCAGCTTTGGTATCAGGATGATGCTGGCCTCATAAAATGAGTTAGGGAGGATTCCCTCTTTTCCTATTGATTGGAATAGTTTCAGAAGGAATGGTACCAGTTTCTCCTTATACCTCTGGTAGAATTCGGCTGTGAATCCATCTGGTCCTGGACTCTTTTTGGTTGGTAAGCTGTTGATTATTGCCACAATTTCAGATCCTGTTAAAGGATTCCCTATTTAATAAATGGTGCTGGGAAAACTGGCTAGCCATATGTAGAAAGCTGAAACTTGATCCCTTCCTTACACCTTATACAAAAATTAATTCAAGTTGGATTCAAGACTTAAATGTTAGAGCTAAAGCCATAAAAACCCTAGAAGAAAACCTAGGCATTACCATTCAGGACATAGGCATGGGCAAGGACTTCATGTCTAAAACACTAAAAGCAATGGCAACAAAAGCCAAAATTGACAAATGGGATCTAATTAAACTAAAGAGCTTCTGCACAGCAAAAGAAACTACCATCAGAGTGAACAGGCAACCGACAAAATGGGAGAAAATTTTCGCAACCTACTCATCTGACAAAGGGCTAATATCCAGAATCTACAATGAACTCAAACAAATTTACAAGAAAAAAACAAACAACCCCATCAAAAAGTGGGCAAAGGACATGAACAGACACTTCTCAAAAGAAGACATTTATGCAGCCAAAAGACACATGAAAAAATGCTCATCATCACTGGCCATCAGAGAAATGCAAATCAAAACCACAATGAGATACCATCTCACACCAGTTAGAATGGCAATCATTAAAAAGTCAGGAAACAACAGGTGCTGGAGAGGATGTGGAGAAATAGGAACACTTTTACACTGTTGGTGGGACTGTAAACTAGTTCAACCCTTGTGGAAGTCAGTGTGGCGATTCCTCAGGGATCTAGAACTAGAAATACCATTTGACCCAGCCATCCCATTACTGGGTATATACCCAAACGACTATAAATCATGCTGCTATAAAGACACATGCACACGTATGTTTATTGAGGCACTATTCACAACAGCAAAGACTTGGAACCAACCCAAATGTCCAACAATGATAGAGTGGTTTAAGAAAATGTGGTACATATACACCATGGAATACTATGCAGCCATAAAAAATGATGAGCTCATGTCCTTTGTAGGGACATGGATGAAATTGGAAATCATCATTCTCAGTAAACTATCGCAAGGACAAAAAACCAAACACCGCATATTCTCACTCATAGGTGGGAATTGAACAATGAGAACACATGGACACAGGAAGGGGAACAGCACACTCTGGGGCCTGTTGTGGGGTGGGGGGAGGGGGGAGGGATAGCATTAGGAGATATACCTAATGCTAAATGACAAGTTAATGGGTGCAGCACACCAGCATGGCACATGTATACATATGTAACTATCCTGCACATTGTGCACATGTACCCTAAAACTTAAAGTGTAATAATAATTAAAAAAAAAAAAAAAAGAAATGGGATGTCACCAATCAATGGTCACAGAATTCATCCTGGTGGGATTCCAGCTCAGTGCTGAGATGGAAGTGCTCCTCTTTTGGAGCTTCTCCCTTGGAATAGCCTTGGAACTCATCTGTCTGGACCACAGTCTGCACACTCTCATACTTCTTCCTCTCACACCTGGCCGTCATTGACATGTCCTATGCTTCCAACAATGTTCCCAAGATGCTGGTGGATCTTGCGAACTAGAAAAGCACCATGTGCTTTTTTCCATGCATAATGCAGACATTCTTGTATTTGGCTTTTGCTCACATAGAGTGTCTGATTTTGGTGGTTTTGTCCTATGATCGCTATGTGGCCATCTGCCACCCCTTACGTTACAATGTCCTCATGAGCTGGAGAGAGTGCACTGTCCTGGCTGTGGCTTCCTGGGTGTTCAGCTTCCTCCTGGCTCTGGTCCATTTAGTTCTCATTCTGAGGCTGCCCTTCAGTGGGCTCATGAAATCAACCACTACTGTGAAATCCTGTCTGTCCTCAAGTTGGCCTGTGCTGACACCTGGCTCAACCAGGTGGTCATCTTTGCAGCCTGCATGTTCATCCTGGTAGGGTCACTCTGCCTGGTGCTGGTCTCTTACTTGGGCATCCTGGCGGCCATCCTGAGGATCCAGTCTGGCGAGGGCCGCAGAAAGGCCTTCTCTACCTGCTCCTCCCACCTCTGTGTGGTGGAGTTCTTCTTTGGCAACGCCATTGTCATGTACATGGCCCCCAAGTCCCGCCATCCCGAGGAGCAGCAGAAGGTCCTTTCCCTGTTTTGCAGCCTTTGGAATCAGGTGCTGAACCCTCTGATCTACAGCTTGAGGAATGCAGAGGTCAAGAGTGCCCAGAAGAGGGCACTGAGGAAGGAGAGGCTGATGTAAGACATCTCAAAGGGCACCACGAGGAGAGGGCCCTGCTCCGTACAAAATGTGTAAGTTGGCTTTTTTGTTTTCTGCTAGGATAAATGCCACCTTAAAATTAACTATTTATTGACTTAAACATATAAACTGAAATCTTAAACTCTTGAGAGGAAAATAGAAGAATATTTTCATTAATTAAGTAGAAATATATTTGTAGAAAAGACACAATAATCCATAGAAGTAAAATTTGAATAATTCATTAACATTGAAAATCTTTGAAATTAATCACTGTGATTATCAAAGTCCCCATTAAGAAACAAGAAATGCAGGCAGAAAGTGATAAAATTCACTGTTCTTTATCTAGCAAAGAAACTAAAGACAATATATTGAAAGAACTCTTTCAAATTAATATTAAAAGACAAACAAATTTTATAAAATGAGCAAAGCGCTTGAATAGAAACTTCTCCAAAGAAATACAAGTGGTCAATAAACATGTAAAATGCTGCTCTTCACCATTAGTCAGCAAGAAAATGTAAATTACAGTCACCATCAGGTAGCATTTTATATCCCCTCAACTGTCTAAAATTTTTAATGGATTATTTGTTATTGAAATGATTTGAAATCTAACTCCAATAATTGGGAAACAGCCAATACTAGTAAAGTTTGTACCCATTGAATTAATATGTTAGAGCACATTATATATTCTCTGGGTCAATAGTTAGTGACTTTTTCCTGTAAAAGTCCACAGAAAAATATATAAGACTTTGAGGACCATCTTCTTCATCGTAAAAGGTCAACTCTGGCAAAAGCAGTCATAGACAATGTGTAAATGAATGGGTGTGGCTGTGTTTTAGTAAAATTTTCTTTGCAAAAACAATGACTGATCAAAGGGGCCCAAGGACACTAGACTGCCAATACTTGTTCTAGATCTATGAGCTAGTCTAGGTCCAGCCGATTCAAAGTCAGAGACCTTCACCGGGTAGGGCCTCAGGGACCATACCATATGATTAGATGTGTTTTAAGAACAAGACCCAGTGGTCACTTTGGAGTCATTCTAGAGTGAGGCTTTTCTCTTGATAACTTATAAAATATATGACATAATGGCTTATGGACTATAAATACCCATGCTTGCTCCAATATAATTCAATAATAACATTAGCAATCCAATAAAAACAAGCACAGAGACATCTGGTACAGATTAGCTTTTTCAGTGCTGGACATATCAGGGACTTAGATTTTTAGTTATTTACTTTAAAACTTTACAGCCAATTTACTAGAAGCTGTTTATACCTTTATGTTAAAATCATTCTAGTTTTAATTATACATTCAGAAAGTCACTCTTATCTCATCGTGGATTACTAGGTAATGTAATTCTTGACCCTCATCTGATAGCTGATAATAATTTTGCATAGGGAATCACAAGGAAAGATTATAAATAACTAAGCCTCAGGACAAGTTGGAGTTCTTATAGTGGAGAAACTTTTTCCGTGTAAAGAGGGGAATCACATACCCTAATAGGGCAGGAAAGTTCTAAAGCTGAGAATTACTCCAATATTCAGAGACTGAGTTATCTTAATTTGTCATCTCAGAACATTTTACATCTATCAAGCTTCTTTTCTTACCCTGAAATAAATTGTTGTGTAACAGTATGTGTTATGATTTTCTTCTCCCTTTCTTGTTTCTCTTCAGCCAATTTTAAATCAACACACCCATTTCTAGCCTTCATATACCTGTACATAAACATTCTCTCAGTGTCTCCCAGCTCCCTGGTGCATAATATTCCATGGATAAAATGCTCTGTGCCATTTGCTTTCAAATATTGGTTTGCCATCTTCTCACAAAAAGATTTGGGCATTCCTAGCTACCATTTGTCTTAAAACATGTAATAAAGGAAGTACAGTGATGTAATTTAAATATGAAAAAATACCTTCTGATTGTAAACTTCAAGCTTATGAAACGATGAATCCCTGATTTCTAAAAGCAAAATGAAACAAAAATAAATCTATTTCATAACTTGTCAACAGTATTCCAATCTAGTCCAATTTATCAATATTTGCTTTTAATGCAATCTGAAGATTTTTCAACTTGGTATATTATTTTACAAAAGCAACTTTGTGCATTATTTTTAAAAATCTTCCCTTAGATATGTCATAAAAACATTATATTTGTGTCTTTGAAATAGGTCTTGAATATTCAAAGGTCTTGAATACACAGGAATTGAGTGATTTTGCAGGCTTTGAGTATTTTTAGGGAGACTCAATTGTCCCAGCCCCATTTACTGCAAAGTCCTTCCTTCTCCAATGATTGATCATGCTGTGCTACCTGTAGTTTAGCAAGAGCTAAAAGAGGCATAAATCTACTTCCATAATTTATATTCTATTCAGTTTGTTTCTTGGTACATCCTTGTATGAATTTTGTAAAATTTTATTTTAATTGTTTTTGCTTTTCAAAAATATAATAGATTTTCATATCAATTTTGTAACAAGCTACCTTAACTTTTCATATAATTTTAATAATATGTTAGAAGATTATTTTAGATTTTCTGCATATCTGACAATTGTGTCCTTTGCGTTAATTACAGTTTGTTTCTTCTTTCTCAAATGTGTGTGTGTGTGTGTGTGTGTGTGCGCGCACACGCATGGGTGTCTATTTATTCCTTTTGCCTAATTGTACTGGTAGGAATCTTTAGTAAGAAACTGAGAAAAAGGAAAAAAAGTGACAATGATGTGCATCCTTACCTTGTCCTTTATATTAAATGGAAAGATGCTAGCATTTCACCATTCAGTAGGCTATCTGCTGCGTTTTTTGTTTGTTTGGTGTTTTTTTTTTTTTTTTTGTAGGTTATCTTTAAGAAGGCTTACTGCCATATAAGTTATAAAAAGTTTTATCATGACTTGGCGTTGAATTTTGTTAAATACTTTTCTCGATCTACCGAGATGGCCATATTATATGCATCCTTTAATTTATTAATGTGACAAATTATATTCATTATTTGCTTTCATGTTAAATATTTCCTACTTTCTGGGGATAAAAACAACTTAATCATAATCTGCTACTACTTTATTTTGCGAAATTTGACTTACTAATATTTTGTTTTTCCTTCTTAATGTTGATTTTAGCTAATACAAAACATTTTATCTTAAAATTATTTTTTATTTAAATTACAGTTCAAGTTCATCACACTCTGAGTTACTTAGAAGCACACAGTACTTAAATGACTTGGATTGTAAAGTTTATGTTTTGTGATACACAGGTGGGATAATTACAAATGAATAATACTAAGCATGGAGAAATGTAAGAGTATTTTATTTCAGTGTATATTATAAGCTGTATAATTAGGTAAAGTTGTTTTCATGACTTGAAAGGTGTCAATAAAATACATTTCTCTCCCCACAGCATCTTATCCTTTGGGCTTTCAGAGTGACTGAGATTTATTCCCCTGTATTAAGGCATCATATTTCCAGAAGTTCTCAATTAAAATAAATTATAAAGGAATGTATCCCAACCAAGTCCCTAATCTTTCCTGAATGACATAGGTTAGGATTTCTTATTTATCTATCTGTTTATTTATCATCTATTTATTTATTATTTTGTCAAGAGGCTTTAACATGAGTTCTACTCTCTTAAGAAGTTTTTAATTGCACTATGTAGTATGATCAACTATAGGGCGTAATGTTGTACACCAGATCTCTGGAACTTACTCATGTTGCATTACTGAAAATGCATATTCATTCAATAGCAACTTCATGTCTCCCCTTGCCCTCTGTCCCTGGCAACAAGAATCTATGCCGTTTTTATGAATTTGACTATTTTCAGATAACTCTTATAAGTAGAATCATGCAGTACTTGTTCTTCTGTGACTGGATTATTTTATTAGCATAATGTCGTTCAGGTTCATTGATGTTGTAGCATGTGTTATGTATCACATGTTATCAAGCTTAGTAGATGAAATGCCTACTAATAATATAAAGAAGAAATGTAATAGTTCAACAATAGATTGACATTTTATATACTGTATGCTCTTGACAGACTTTTGTATTTAAAAGAGTTTCTCATAACAAAATTTTAAAAACATCTTACTGGTGATTAAATATTGTTATTCTACAGCAAGGCTGAAGACTTTGTTGTCTTTCAACACCTAAAAATATGACCTAATTTCAATATGATAACTGATTTTTATCTAACAACTTCTCTCTCCTTCCCTTTCTTTCTTTCTTTCTTTTTTCTTTCTTTCTCTCTTTCTTTCTTCTTTCTTTCATTTTTCTTTCCTAATATGACTCCTAGGTTTCAAGTAATAAAACTCTTTTCATGGCTTCTACACTTAAATTATATTTAGGGTTTTCCATATATTACTAAGTATCCATGATGATTTGTTCCTTCTTTTTATTAAAAAATGATAAAAATAGTCCTGTTTGGTATGTCCCATATTTGATTAATGCAACTTCTTTCTGAGCTGAGTAGCCCATAGCTGAGATCCAAGTGTTGAATAGGCTTCTCCTTTCTTATCATACATTACAGCAAATCCTGGAGAAGAGCATTAAAAAATAAGCTAAACTTTTCTCATGGTTTGTACATGAAAAACAATGTGCTATAGATATGCCTACAAACAACTATGAATTCATCACAAGACATTGTTTACTTACCATAGTTCACGACCTTCTGTATGACATTCTACACTTCATTTCCATAGTAATCTTACCCAAACTGATGAAAGCCTTGGCAAGCTCTGTCTAAAAGGGCCCTCATGTGGTAAAAGTCCTAATATTCATAAAAATAACTGACCTTGGCCAACTATACTAATGCCTATCAAAGCTTGACTATCTGCCCCCCATATTTACTGTTAAATATTGCTCTAACCCACTTCATTTACCTGCTTTCTTCTTCTGATCAAGGTGAACCTCGTGATTGTCTATAACTTGTTCAAATTCTAAATGACTCCTCCTTTAGTTTGAGGTACATTCTGTTAGTTAACCCTGACATGTCATTCTTTATTATCACTTGTATACTTAAAAATAATCAATGTATCCTTTGCATTGTATATGCCATAAATGTTAAATATATATGTAGAAATTACCTCTTTTTCCAATATTAATCTGCTGAAATGGTTAACCTGATAGCTTTGAAACAACCATGTCTCCTTGCTAAAAGTTTAAATATTTACACCTTTAGTAAAAATTTGACTTTTTGGTAGATCATAGTTTTAGTGTGTTATAAAAATATAAAAATTTACCAACTGTGTCAGACACCCTAATAATAATTGAAAAAGAAATTAATAACTTGACAGTATTGTACATCCAAAGGAAATCACAGTTTTTAAAATCCTAAATAAAGATAATACTTGTAAAACTGATTTATTAATATACTGCCTTAGCTAACAACTACACAAAGAGTATTCATTATTTATTTTATCACCATCAGCATCATAAACACAACATTTCAATCCGATCTCATGAATCTAGGAGATCTTTTGCCACCATGAAAGATAAATGATGTTGGTTATAACAAAGCTGTGTTGGGATGTTTGGTGTCACCATCTACATACAAGTTGGTTCAAACATTAAAAAGTATTGATGAAAAAAATTTCAAGAGCTTCAACAGGTGATTAAATCTTGCCTTTTCAGTAATTAGCATCACCCAAGAGTAAGTGTAAAGTTTGAATAATGCTCAAAACCATTGTTGTCTCCTGGGCCATTTGAATATTTACTCATGGATTTTCTTCATTTTACCAAATCCTAAAGCTTTAATATATTTTAGGGTTTTTTACACAGTTTAGTATTGATCTAAAGCTTTCCGTATCTTATTCCCTTTTACTCCTAAATTATTTCATCAAGGGATACAAGATGTTGTACAGACATACAGACCAACGGAACGGAATAGAAAACCCAGAAATAAAGCTGCACACCTAAAACCACTGGTCTTTGACAAAGTCAACAAAAATAAGCAATGGGGAAAGGACTTCCTATTTGACAAATGGTGCTGGGATAACTGGCTAGCCATATGCAGAAGAGTGAAACTGGACCCCCTACTTTCACCATATATAAAAAATGACTCAAGATGGATTAAAGACTTAAATGTAAAATCACACCTATAAAAATTCTAGAAGAAAATCTAGAAAATACCCTACTTGACATCAGCATTGACAAAGAATTGTTGGCAAGGTCCCCAAAAGCCATTGTAAAAAACCAAAATTGACAAATGGGATGTAATTAAACTAAAGAGATTCTGCACAGCGAAAGAAACTATCAACAGAATAAATAGACAGTCTAAAGAATGTGAGAAAAAATTTGCAAACTATGCATCCAACAAGGTCTAATATTCAGAATCTATAAGAAACAAACAAATCAACAAACAAAAAACAACCCCATTAAAAATGGGCAAAGAATATAAACAAACACTTTACAAAAGAAGACATACAAGCAGCCAACAAACATGAAAAAATGCTCATCTTCACTAATAATCAGATAAATGCAAATCAAAACCACAATGACATTCTATCGTAAATCAGTCAGAATGGCTATTACTAAAAAGTCAAAACATAACAGATGTTGGCAAGGCTGCAGATAAAAGGAAACACTTATACACTGCTGGTGAAAATGTAAACTAGTTCAGTCATTGCAGAAAGAGGTTTGGAGGTTTCTTAAAGAACTAAAAATAGAACTACCATTCAACTCAACAATCCCATTACAGGGTATATACCCAAAGGAAAAGAAATATTTCTATCAAAGAAACACATACACGTGTATGTTCATCACAGTGCTATTCACAATAACAAAGGCATGGAATCAACCTAGGTGGCCATCAGAAGTAGACTGGATAAAGAAAATGTGGTACATATACACCGTGGAATACTACATAGCCAATGAACATGAAATTATGTCCTTTGCAGCAATATGTATGCAAATGGAAGCCATTATCCTAAGCAAATTAATACTGGAACAGAAAACCAAATACCACATGTTCTCATTTATAACTGGGAGCTAAACTTTGAGTACATATGGACATAAAGATGGGAAAAGTAGACACTGGGGACTACTAGAGAGTGTAAGGAGGAAGGGGGTGTGGACCGAAAAAAAACCTATTGGGTACTATGCCTAGTACCTGGGGGAGGGATCATCTGTACCACAGACCTCATCATCACACAATACACCCATGTAACAAACCTGCACATGTACAACCTGAATCTAAAATAAATGTAGAAATTATTTTTAAAATGTACACAAGAGAAATGTACACAAAGCATAAATGTATAGTGCAAGGGATTATCAGTAAATGGCCATTACCCAGCTGCCTTCCTACCCCTCCCAGTCACTATCTACTCCCTTCATCCTAATGATGTCTAATATCCTAGCTTTAACGTTATAGTTTAGTTATTGCCTATGTTTGAAATTTATGTACGCGTGGAATCATACATCCTTTTGTGTCTGGCTTCTATCACTCCAGATTTTGTATCACTCCAGATCTGTATCACTCCAGATTTTGTGTTTGTAATATTCATCCATGTTACTGTATGTTGAGGTTCATTCATTTTCTTTGTTACTTAGTATTCTGCTGTGTGAATATACAAGTTACTCAACTTCTCCCTGTTGATAGATATTTGGATTCTTTTCAGGTTTTAGCTATTATGAAACAATGCTGTTATCTCCTTTAACATCAGAGTTTCATTTTGCCTATTTCAGGAAATTATATAAAATGGCACTGTGACATAAAAAGTAAATAAATAAAAATAAAAGCAAAAAGATGTTCTAACACTTTTAAAGGAAAGGCTAAATATTCTGATAATTTTGCTCTCCTATCTACTGAGATGATTCCTCGATTTTAGAGAACATACATTCCATTGAATATTGCCCTATTTTCAAAGCTTGAATTCAATCACTCACCATTTTTATATTAAACTTCTTCTACAAAATATATTCAAAATTCTTGCTTCAGCAAACCACATG
The DNA here is from genome assembly GCF_000001405.40 of Homo sapiens. Lineage (NCBI taxonomy): Eukaryota > Metazoa > Chordata > Mammalia > Primates > Hominidae > Homo > Homo sapiens. The sequence goes on along the minus strand of NC_000007.14, from coordinate 144,110,541 downwards.
TTTTAAAGGCAAAGCCCATACACCGTTCTCATGGACCTCTTCCTCTGGAGTGCTCTGTGGAGGGCGCCCTTCAACTGAGCATTCCTCAGGCTGTAGATCAGGGGGTTCAGCATTGGATTAAAGACACTGTGAAACAGGGACAGCATTTTCTCCTGCTCCTCTCGTTGATTAGAGTCTGGGACCATGTAAACCACCATGGCTATGCCAAAGAATAGTCCAACCACACACAGGTGGGAGGAGCAGGTGGAGAAGGCCTTTATGCGGCCCTCCTTTGTCTGGATCTTCAGGATGGCCCCGAGGATGTGCATGTAGGAGACCAGAATCAAGGAAAGAGGCCCGACTAAGACAAACACACAGGTAGCAAATATGACCACTTGGTTAACCCAGGTGTCAGCACAGGCCAGCTTGAGGACAGACAGAATTTCACAGAAGAGGTGGTTCACATCCCGGGGCCCACAGAAGGGCAACCTTAGAAGGAGAATTTCATGTACCAGGGACAGGGCAAACCCACATGACCAGGACGTGAGAACCAGGATCGTGCACACTCTCCAGCTCATGATGACAGTGTACTGGAAAGGGTGGCAGATGGCCACATACCTATCATAGGACATCACCACCAAAATCAGGCACTCTGTAACAGCAAAAGCCAAATACAAAAAAGTCTGCATTATGCATGGAACAAAGGAGATGGTTCTTTTCTGGTTCATTAGGTTTGCCAACATCTTGGGAACATTGTTGGAAGCATAGGACATGTCAATGATGGCCAGGTGTGAGAGGAAGAAGTACATGGGTGTGTGAAGCTTAGAGTCCAGGCAGATAATCCCAAAGATGACCCCATTCCCCAGCAGGGTGAGTGTATAGAAGACAGAGAAGAGTCCACAGAGGAGAATCGCCAGTGCTGGACCAACCTGGAATCCCAGCAGGGTGATGTCTGTGATCCATGTCTGGTTGCCTTCCATGCTCTTGTGGCAGAGAAAGACAAACCCTCATCTAGGACAGGAAGGTCAGAGCTGTGGGTCAAAGATGCACAATATTTGCTGAGTGTTTCAGAGGGAGCATTAAGAAATGTATTATTTTGAATGGATTCTTTGTTGAATTTGTTTTCAAATATGTTACTGGAACCAACTCAATTATGCTCATGAAATTAAAAAAATCCTCTTCTACCAACAGAGTAATCGGAAAAAAAGTATAGCTATAATACTTCTTATATAAAAAAAAAATTAACATAAGGTGTAATATAATATATCTTGTATTACTGTATACACATACATGCATGGAAACACGTGTCATTTAGGAGAATTCAGGTACTCTGCTTCTTTTATAGGGTGGAATCCTTAGTTATTAACATAGTGAAATTAGAGATGACACTGACAAAATGCTGCAATACAAGATGGTTTTATATCCTGGGCATGCTTGAGTTTTTCTACCCAGTATGAAGTGGTTAGGGCATTCTGTTCTTCATATTCTTGCTTAGCAACCCATTTACCTTCTCACATGAATTCTACTTTCATATTTAAGATTGAAAATCTTTTGTAAATAGCTTTTCAACTTTGTAATTTCTTTAAAACTTCCTACAACCGTCATTTTTTCAGCCACTGGCCCATACTCCCTGGAAGCACCTCTGGTACCTATTTTCCATCTCTAGGGTTTGTAGTTCTATTTCAAGTATTTTATTTAATTCTTCATCAGCACTTGATGCTAAAATTTAGTCACACGTGAAAGAATTAAAATGGAAGAAAATGTAGGAAAATAGTTTCAAGTCTGTAAATCAAAATAGTAAATATATAATATACAAAAAATAAAAAGGCAATATACAAATATATAATAATATATAAAAGCAGTACAATATCCTTTTTATTATAATTTATTGAATCATTTTTCTTGTCAGAAATTTTTGGTTTCTATTTCTCTTATGTTTGGTAGCATTGAGATAAATATTCTTACAAGCTTATGTTTGGCTTATATTGATGATTTTTAATTGAGAATGTATTCTAAAAGTGAATTTGCAGGTGCTAAATATATTGAAATTTCAAAGCTTTTGATATCTATTTCCAGCTTTGCTTCAGAAAATTTACCAATACAAATTCTACTAATTTTTATCTATATAAATTCTATTATTTTATACCAATATAATATATCACTGATGTGTACCTCAGAATCATGCCTCTTTCCCACATGGTCATCACAACCATGTATTTTTATTTTCAACCTTTGCTAATTCGATAAGAGAACAATATTATCCAGTGTCAATTTGTACTTCATCCATCCTTTAACAAACGATCCTGGAGTGCATGATCTGTTTTAGCCACTGTTCTAAGCGCAGGAGGCACAGTGGTGGAGGTAGATGCATTCAGAAGGGGACCAGGTCATGAAGAAGTGAAGTTAAGGCAGTGTTCTCTTCAACTCCTCACATTCCCATTTAGAGGAGGAAATTGTTATGCCCCTGGATGAAATTGTCTTGGAATATACCTGCTTTTCTCTGTCCCCTAATTTATATGATTGTGAACCAGAAAGAGAAACTAAGGATACCCCTTCTCTGTTTCACCCACACGAATTTCCACCCCCTTTAGCATAAGGCATCAGGAACATGTTTCTTCCCATTTGGAGGTCGGGAGAGGTGTCAGCTAATGGTTATGATTTTAATTTGGAGAGAAATTTTTTTGAAGATATGAACCATGCTTTTCAATAAGCCTTACTAGCAAAATATATAAAATATATATATTTTAAAATTATATCTGATTCTTGTGTGCATTTCTTAACTGATTTTTTTCTGGAGCAGAGAGAGGGAATGGTTAGTTACTACCACTAAAACACCAGGAGTAAATGAGTAAATAATTGCTGACTGTGAAAAGAACAGTAAAAAAATAATCTGGGTAAAATAATAGAAAGTTGCTTGGTTTGAGGAAGACTCCTTTAGATGAGATGGTCAGGAAAGGTCTCTCTCAAGCAGAGTCAGGTGAAAGGAACCTAAACAATGAAGGCCGCAACCCTGCCCAGAGCCAAAGGAGGACCATTCTCTTCACAGGGAACAGTAAGGGAACAGTAAAGGCAAAGTCTCTGGGCAAGAAGCGCTTGGTGACTTCTGGGAAGAGAAAGAAACACAATGAAACTGAAGCATAGTGAGCAAAAGGTCATACTTATTCTTCGTAATCTTGTTTATATATTTAAAAATTTTGAATTATGATTTGATAGCACAATAGGGTGACTATAGTCAGTAATAACATAATTGTACATTTTAAAATAACTTAAAGAGTGTAATTGTATTTGTATTATTTGTAACTCGAAAGATAAATGCTTGAGGGGATGGATACCCCATTCCCCATGATGTGCTTATTTCAGATTGCATGCCTCTATCAAAACATCTCATGTACCCCATAAATATATATGCCTACTATATACCCACAAAAATTTAAAAAATAAAAAAATAAAAAGATTGGAATCAACTTAAAAGTTTATCAGTTGGGGATCAATTATTTTCATTTGGCTGTTATTACAACACAGAATACCATGCAGCCATGAAAAAGGACAATTTTGATCTTTAGGTCATTCCATGAAGTTAACGTATGTGTGTATTATATGACCTGATTTATATTTTAGAATATAAACATATTTAGGTCTTTTGTATCTATTCACATATATGCAGGAAAATTCTTTAAGCATGAAATTATTTATACTGATGATCTCTACAAAGTTGGAATATTCAGCGACTTATCTTTTGTATAAATTGCACACCTGTTCATTTGTTTTTAATGAACTTTGTGCTTTACAGGAAACAAAACAGGGCATTTCTTATTTAGAAAAACTTCACAGTGAAATACAGAGTTAAAGTTTACACTATTTCTATGCATCTCACCAAGTTGTTTTTTTTGTTGTTGTTTGTTTGTTTTTTTGTTTTTGAGATGGAGTCTTGCTCTGTTGCCCAGGCTGGAGAACAGTGGCACAATCTCGGCTCACTGCAAACTCTGCCTCCTGGGCTCAAGCAATTCTCTTGCCTCAGCCTCCAGAGTAGCTGGGACTACAGGCATGCACCACCATGCTTGGCTAATTTTTGTATTTTTAGTAGAGATGGGGTTTCACCATATTGGCCAGGCTGGTCTCGAACTCCTGACCTCAAGTGATTCACCCACCTTGGCCTTCCAAAGTGCCGGGATTACAGGTGTGAGCCACTGTGCCCGGTCTTCTCACCAAGTTTTAACAGGAACATCTGAACTTAGAAGACTTTCTTAGAGCTTCAAATGGGAGAAATGTCACTAAATTATGGGAAAGTATTAATCCTTAACAAGTAAGTAGAAATTGAAAAATCTCAGTATCACTTCTCCTACAGAAGCATGTACTTTTTTCCCGAGTTGTCCTGATAGAGAAACAATCAACATCATCTATTGACTAAAAGTGGAAGTGGATCTTAAACCAGGTTGAAAATTTTTGCCACGTCCACCAAATTATGAACAAGGGCAGAAGCAAAGCCAAGTTATAAATCTGCACAGGTCAAAGAAAATGAGCTTCATCATACAGAGAACTACATTTCAATGTCTTTTAATTTTCTCATCTGTAAAGTAGCTTCTGGGAATTTCCGGTTAAAAATCAAAAGAAAGAAACAGGGAACTGAAAAGACTAAATTTCTTTCCAAAGATAGTCTTTCGATGAGACATAGGAGACCTCCCAGAGGTGAAGCAGGGTCACAACTTACAGAGGGAGGGCAGCCTGAGACAGAATCCTGGGAGTGGGATGTGACAAACCCCGTGGCTGTCAACTGTGCTGTGTGCATCTCTGTGTTTCTGCACCCAGTTCAGGGACCCAGGGTAGCAAGCACTTGGATGCCTCAGCAGTTACAAATGCATCATGAGCTTCCTTTTGCCAAATGGTTAGAATTGTTTGACTAATCAAAGTTTATAAGTAAAATAATCTGCATTTATAGAATTTTACATGTGATTTTTTTGGTATGACATTTCTGAAAGAAAGTAGTAGCCAAAATAAACTATTTCTAAAGGAATGGAATAAATAAAGGAGCAAATAGAACTGTTAGTCTTATTTAATTAGATGTGAACTGCATCCAAACCACATCTAACATGAGATGTCAAATGTACATTTAAGAGTTTGCTAGCAAGGGTCATAAGGTGACAACTCCATAATGGTGATTCTTCACACACACTAATGTTGTATCAGCTCATTTGTGAAGCCAAGGATGATAGAAAAGTATACTATAAACTGAACACATTTTTTTTCATTATTGGCATGGTTTTGCATTTTGGATTTCATAGTTTAAGAAGTCAGTATTATTTTTTTCTCTGAGTAAAAAGCCTGAGCAGATACAATAAAGACACAGTTGCCTGAAATAAAGTTTTCTTTGAGAGTGTACTCCAGCTACACATCAAAGAAAGATCTTCAGTGCATAGAATGAGGAAAAAGCCTTCATGGATACTGTTCTCTATTCTTCCATAGCATGACAAAAGTAGCAGTAATTGAAAAAAAATATGATCTCTGAAGAACAATGAGATAAGCATTGTTAGCAGTGCTCTTTAGACAATCATTCTGACCTTGATTCTGAACGGTGAACATTACAAAGTTGAGTACCTTATTCTGAACCTCACTATTTTCATCTGTAAAATGATGACAACAGATATCTAAAGGGCTGATGTGAAGAATGAGTACCACTAGGATACCTGTTAATGGTTTAATAAATGTTAGCTGTTATTAACAGCATTATGGAGACCACAAAATTGAGGAAAGAATCTAAATCATTGGAATTAAAAATCCAATGCAATCATTACAGTTTTGCAAACTCTTTCACATTTATTTTGCATTCCTTTTTGGTTATTTTTGAATTTAAATCAAAACACATTTTGCTTTCATTGCCATTGTTTTTCTATTTTGATTCATAAAATTAAGTTTAAAAAGAAACTTGAAGAGATGAAAAGAATCATTTAATGTAACCTCATTCCTGTATTAAAGAAGAAAATACAAGTTTTCAAAACTCAAAGTGCTATTCTGCCATGCCTATGACAGAGAGAGAGAGAGAGAGAGAGAGAGAGAGAGAATCTTATGGAAGAAAAGGGGACATATTTAGGATATTTAACACCGATCAAAAGTAAACATTTTTATTGATATTTTAGTCAGAATGGAAGCCATGGCTATCAAAGACGGGGTTCTGGGACAGCACAGATTTTTCAAATATTTGCAATCACTCAAAAATTACTTACCATCTCAGTAGTTACTTTGATACTCAATTTGATCCTAATGAATAGCATAATTTAGAAAAAAAACAAGCAAAGATTCTAGATAGAGCCCTATTGCCTGGGTTCAGATCCTGGCTTTGCTACACACTAAATTTACGACTTTTCTGTGCCTTACTGTGCCTCAGTGCCCCCATCTGCAAAATGGGGTGGGTAACAAACCCTACCTTATAGGATGGTTGTGAGGATTAAATGAGTTATCTATCATAAGACACTTAATAAGTGCATAAAAACCATTATTGATGATTTGCAACAATCATTGGAAAGTGACTTCTGGGTCCAATAATAACAAGGAAATGCGTTATATGTTTAACAGTTCCTCTGCTAAATAAGGAAACAAAAAGAGAATCTTTTCCCCACAGGCACTGGGTTGCCCTATGAGAGAGTGGCATCTCTGTCTTGAACAATTGAGCAGTGGGTCCTAGTTAGCCAGACAATGGTTCAAGAATCGGAAGGGCAGACAGTTAGCAATGGCAGAAGGAAGATCAATCAATCTCAGGACAAGTGAACTACTTGATAACTCTGATTTAGTGTTTTCTTATTTGTAAGAAGAGGAACCTGGGCCATGTAGTCTCTGGAGTTCTTTTTAGCCCTTTAGCCAGATAATATCCTACATGATATTATCTCTTCCTCTTCTCTGGCGGAGTCATGACAAAGCCAGGCACTGGCATGTGAGGATGAGGGACCAGGAGGGTGAGAGGAACCATGGCCACCCCATGGTTGTAAGGACCAGTAGTGGTCCCCAGAGCTCCTCTCAGGACCCCAGTTATAAACATAGGCTTAGGGCCAGAAGGAAACTACACGAGGGCAGTGTTTTGTCAAAAATACCTTAAGCTGGAAATGTCATTCACTTCTGGTTCCCTTTTCCCACCTGCAAACTTCTTCTCAGCGTCAATGAGCCACTTTTACTTACAGTGGCATAATATGTAGTCTTTTCTTCAAACACAGCCTTAGGCTTAGAAGAAACCTCAATGACAGGAGGGAAGGATAAATAGACTGAGATTGATTCTTGTCTCTAAAGGGGCCTCCTTGGGAGGTGAAGCCCAGCAACAGAGCTCTCCTGAACTTTATGATAGACTTAGTTTGTGCAAGCCAGGGCTTTTTCTATTATCATTTGTCTACAACTAACTCTCCAGACAAAAATAATGATTCAGTGAACAGAACCATGTGAGATTGCATCTACTCACATTCTCCCTAGAGGGAATTATAGAATTTATTGCTTTTCTATTAGCAAGTAAACCAATCAAAGCATCTCACATGTTTATTCATTTTGTTCCTTCTGTATTCTCATGGGATTTATTTTAGTGTGTTAACTTGAAATTGGATGGGGACAGGATTTCTGTATATGAGATAAGACCTTGGAGAGAAAACAAAATATTCAAGATAGTATATCAATTAAATTCTCTTAAAACTTACTTATTTTATCAGCCTTAAAATTGCCCCACTTTCCAATTCCTGCTGTTTGACTGTAGAGGAGAGGCCGTGACTTCTTGGTAATCATTCCACATTTCTCACTTACAAATATTTTTGACTCTGCAGTTCAGGTATACCTCATCTTCTTCCTTAAATTTCGTCAATGTGTCTTTATCTCAAACATCTCTAAATTTCTTAGCCACATTTTGATTTCCTCATCCTAAGTTAGGGTCTACAGATAAAATGAGCATGCTTTTTCCTCTCTCTCTTTCTCTCATTTTCACTGAGTGATGATTGCAAAAATCCTTCCAGTTCTTTCTTACTACATGTCTGTTTTCAATCTAGTTCTCTATAGAGTTTTAGTTTTTGAACTATGGTGGAAGAAGCACTTCACAAGAATAGTAATGTATTTAATCTATTGTGGAGAACACTAAAATATATCTATTCAAGAGGAGGCTAATGGGGTTATTTTTCTTTTAAAATGATCTGTGGGCCAGTAGAGCTTCCCTCCACTTACCTCCTTATTCTCCAATGCACACACTCTATTTCCTTCAAGTACTATCTCCCAGCAGCTCCCATTCTTGAAATTCCTATTCCTTGTTTCAAGTCCATTTAATCTTGTTTTACCCACTTGAATTCATACATAACACCAATCCTTCAAAGCACTCATGGAGCCCTCTTCAACTACTTCAGCCCAAATCAGTCTCCCTTCTGTGATAGACCAAAGGAGCACTTATTATAAGAATGCTTCAAGATTGTGTTTAAGTAATATTTTACTTTTAGTATTTTTTATTGCTCATCTTTCATATGAGGTTATTACAGAAAAATAAATTTGACTCACCAACACCTGGATAGAGCTAAGAATAATATTCTGCTGCATATTTGTTCAGACTGGCATTAGTAGCACAATTTTATTCCTTTTGTTGAGTACAATATAATGACATTTAACACAGTCTACTATAGATACGAACTCATATATCATAATTTGTCTATTTTTGCTTCTAATCTTTGAAAAGGTGACAGCAAAACATTTTTCATGGAAAGTCTTAGACTTCTTGTGAGTGTTAAATTTACACTGATTAACATTTTATATTTTAGCAATAATAAATACTGTAAAGTATACATGGCTCCATCAGTGGTGATGGACCTTTATTAAGTGAGTCAATTTTGAAGTAGGTGTTTGTGGATTATATCAATTACTATACCTACAGCTGGCCTAAGCATATTTTAACATTTGCTGTCTCGAGAGAGAAATAGCTCCTTTGCAGGGCTTGAGTTTTTACTGTTTTTATTTCTTTTTTAAAAATTCTACTTCCTTCATAGGATTTCAATGGGTTATTGAAGAAGATAAAATAATATAAATGATGAGAAGGGATTTGAAATGTTAAGGGCTGTTTTTGCCATCAATTCTGTGATTGCATCTCACCTTAACCTTATAAAGCTTTTGTAGGAGGTGCTCCATCAAAACAAAGGAGTAAATCAAAAAAGAGGATGGCATGATTAATGAACTGGAGAGTCCAACAGAAGGTAAAGGCAGATGGAATTGTTGGGATGGAACCAGTCCAGACAGAAAGAGAATAGCAGACTATTAAGGGAAGTCTTCAATAAAAAGTTGGAATGGATGTATCATATGAGGGGGTGGAAGAGGTAGGCAGTCTTAGCAATTGGCACAAAGAATCCATGCAGAGGAGGGAAGGGGCAATTAATTAACTTGACTTTTGTTACTTGCAGCTGATGCATTCTAATGAATACATACTTCCTTCCTAGAAAATCAAGTGAGAGAAAAATACTGCCAAATAGAGAGTTTTCTAACTTGCTGCCACTGTTGATATACTGTAGATGAACAGGCTTGAAGGGGGATGTTGCCTTTCTCTCTTACAGCCACAGACTTCTCCAGCGATTTAGTCTCCATGTTTGGGCTTATTAATGGGACAATAGTATTGCATTCCACTTTGTTCAACAGTTAGAAAGTTGGTGCTGGCCCCCAGTGTCTACCTTAATCAAATGTTTATCATACACTAGTAATGTGTCAGGCATAGTTCAGGTTATAGGCATGAGGGATACGACTGATCAAGAGAGAAAATTGTCTGCATTCCCTTTGCTCACATGCTGGTGGTAAACAGGAAATCTGTACTCACGTTGCCTGTTTCTTAAAAGTCTTAATACTTCTTTATCATCCTGTCTCCCTACCCACTTCAAGGGAAAAAAAACTGCCTTCTTTTTGGTAAGAAGGACTTAAGCTCAACATGTACAAAATAAAGACATTTTTTAAAGTTCAATGAAAAAAATTAAAATTATTTTAGGTCACAGCACCCAGAAATAATTCTGATTGATAGCTCAATATCCCCCAAATTTCTTCATTAACATATACAGATGCAAAGACAGTAGGACAGACAGATAAATAATTTAGCAAAAATGAGATCCGACAATATTTCAGGAAAGCATTTTGACTTTTATTTTTTGTGTAAAAAGAACATTTGCCCAATATGAAAATAAGTTAGGCAATACAGGGAAAATACAATCACATCCCTTACACATTTGGTTAATTGAATTGAAGATACTTCTGTGATCTTAAAGAAACATATGGCTAGAAGGATAAACTGACAATCTTAGATATATTTATAAAACTGTTTTCATACTCCTCACGCTTTTTGAAGTATATATATGTATATATTTAATATAGCAGAAGGAAGAGCATCTACTGTGTAACTAAAATACTTATTCTAATTCAGAATCTTTTTTTTTTAAGCAGTATCAGATTAGGTTCTTAAAGGAGTCCCTTTGGTGTGAGAATAATTTTTTATTATATTTACAGATTGTAGCCATTATAGTTTTAAACATTGTGCCTTATTTTCACAGAGTATCATTTGGGTCCCAAAAATTGATGGATGAGAAAATTTGCACACTTCAATGGCCTACTTCTTTTCAAGAGGTTAGCTTCAGAATTTAAACCATTTGGCCGATAAGCCAGTTGTGTGCTCAGTGGTCATTGCCCACTTCCTTACTGACCCTATACTGATTCTCAGGCAGTGCAGATATCAGAGAACATGGTCCTTGCTATGAGCCAGGGGAGATTAAACCATGACTGATATAAGCCAAGAATTTGATCTCATCTTCTTTGTTAGTAAGTGGATTAAGGACTTCCATTTGACTCATTCTTGGCCAAAGCAATACGAGCAAACAATCTGCTGAGAGTAAGTCTTTCTGGAAAAGATTTTTCTTCTTGATAAAAGGGGGAAAGACAAAAAATAAGTTTCTCTTGTTTCTTTATTAGTTTTAGACATTGTTATGTCAGAAAATTTTCTCATTACAACAAAATCTGAAAATGATTCATATACTGTATTGTCAAAAACCTTCTATTCTGTTTTCATTTTAAAATTTATTTTAAGGTGATTTTAGAATTAAAAATTCTATTTTTATCCTACTTTTGTCTTATCTTAATTTTTGTAGATGCCATACATTATGATGACTCTTGCTGTTCTTTTTACCTGAATGATTTATCTTTTTTCCCCTACTAATTTTAGTTTTTCAAGCCTAGTGTCTATATTACCTTTAATATAAGTTCTCTTTTACTTACATTTTGACAAATAATTTTTTTGTTAAGTTTATAAAACTACCACCCCCCATATCTCACATGGTAATTAATGATCACTAGATCTCATGGTTGAAGGGAATATTAATTCCCTTCATTGACAGTGGTCCAATATAATAATAATTATTTCCAATAGAGTATTCACAGTTGAGAATTCCATAGGAGACAATAATGTTTCCTTCATTAAAAAAAAGAGGGAGGGAGGAAGGAAGGAAATAAAGAAAATAAAGAGAGAAGAAAGAAAGAAAGAAAAGAGAAAGAAGAAAGAAAGAAAGAGAAAGAAAGGAAGAAAGAAAAGAGAAAGAAGAAAGAAAGAAAGAGAAAGGAAGAAAGAAAGAGAAAGAAAGGAAGGAAGGAAGAGAAAGAGAAAGGAAGGAAGGAAGGAAAGAAAGAAGAAAGAAAGGAAGAAAGAGAGAAAGAAAGTCCTCCTTCAATGATCCTGATAACTTTCCTTCCTGGTGGTAGAAGGGAGATATGTTTATCTTTTGTCTTGAATCAATGGGTCATTGGTGTAAGCTACAGTTGTACATAGAGTTAGTATTGTATTGAGAATATGGGCTCTCTCTCTCTCTGCCATGTGTAGACACAGTGGGAAGACACTCTCTGAAAGCCAGAAGAAAGTCCCCACTAGAGCTCGACGATGCTTGGCACCTGATCTTGGACATAAATTTCTATTGTTTAACAATAAAAGAATACCAGCTCTGGAGCCAGAGAACCTATTTTTTTAAACTCTATATTTTCCATTGATTATGCTAACTCAATGACTCAGGGTAAGTTACTCAACCTCTGTGTTCCTCGATCTTCTCATGTGCAAAATAGAAATTATTAATAAATAGAACATAAAAATGCATCTCTCTCCCCCTAACTTGGTTGCTTCTTGGTTTCAGGAAGAATGTGGATAGGCTTACACTTTCCTGGGGATACCTATTGGTCGTCTGTCAACAGATAATTGTTGAGAATCTTCTCTGTACCTAGCTCTGCTCTAGATACTAGAGACACAGCTATGACAAGACAAAATTGATGTGTACGACGATCTTGTATATTACTGATTGTAAACTGACAACACACATGTGAAAAAAATATATAAAGGGAAAAACTTCAAGTACTTAATAATGCCATAAAAAGACAGACTGAAGAGATATGATTGAAAGTCACCTAGTCAAGACAATGCATGAGACTCTGAAATATGCTGGTCTTTGGGGATGTACTGCTTGAGAGCTGATAAATCAGAAAGTCTTCCAGAAGATTTTGTGGCTTGTCCTTTCACTTTTTATGCCCTGTTTTGATTAACATAAGTTCTTAATTTCAACCCAGTCACATACACTAATATTTTTATTTAATGCAGCTTAAAGATTTTATAATATCAGATATTATTTCACAATAGCAATTATGTGTATTGTTTAAAAAATCCTTCTCTTGTATATCTTCTAAAAGCTTTAGAGTTCTGCCTTTGACACTTAAATCTTGAATACACCAGAAGTTGAATTTTCTGCATGATTTGAATATCTTTATAAAGACTTGGTTGTCCCAACACCATTTACTTCAAAGCTTTTTCATTCCCCAGTGATATGCCATGCCACACCTCTAATATAGCAAGTGCTAATAAAAGCAAATATACACTAATTTTCTTTCTATTCTGTTTGTTTTTTGGTCTATCTGTGTATAAATACCACACTGTTCTGTTTATTAGCACTATATAGTGTGTTTTGATATCTGAAGGATCAAATCCTCCCACGTTGTACTCTTTCTCTTTTAATAGAGTTTGAGCTAGCCTTGGTCCCTTGAATTTTAAGATTAGTTTGTTGAGTTCTGCACACATCCACACACCCTGCTGCGATATTGATTGGGATTGTATTAAATCTAATAATCAATTTAAGGAGATTGAATCTTTGTAATATTATGTTTTTCAGTCCAAGAACTTGGCATACCACACATTGTGTATCTATTTATTTACCATAGTCTCTCAATAAATTTTTAATTGTCTCTTTAGAGCTTTTGTATAATCTTTGTTATAATTATTCCTAAGCATTTGAGAATTAAATCCTGTTGTGTATGGTAGCGTTTTTTCAAGTTTCATTTTAATTGTTTGTTACTGCTTTAAAAATATAATATATTTTTATATTGATTTTGTATCAAGCTACTTTAAAATTTCTTATAATTCTTTTGAATTTCCTACATATACAGTAATGTCATTTGTATGTAATTACAGTTTGTTTCTTCTTTCTCAAATGTGTGTGCACGTGTGAGTGTGTGTGTGTGTGCGTGTGTGCGTGTGTGCGCATGCATGGGTGTATTTGTTCTTTTTGTCTAACTGTATTGGTTAGGATCTCTAGTAAAAAGTGAAATCAAGAAAAACAAGTGATTTTTTTTGTGTCTGATTCTTTACCCGAAAAGGACAGATGCTAACATTTCACCATTAACCATGACGTCTGCTTTGTTTTTATTTTTGTTTTGTTTTTGGTAGATTCTGTTTAGAAAGTCTTACTGCGATATTAGCTTATAAAGAATTGATCTTAAATCTTGTCAAACACTTTCTTGGATCTACTGAGATGTTCATATGAAATGTATTCTTTAATTTGTTAATGTGGGGAAGTTATTTTTGTTGTTTGTTTTAATGTTAAATTATTGCTGCATTTTAAGGGTATACATAGTTTCATTATAATACATCCTTACTTCATTCTGATGGACTTGTTTCATTAATATTTTCTTTAAGAGGTTTGCATCTATGTTCATGAGTAGGATTAGATTGTGATTTTCTGTTTCATAAGTTTATCTCAGGTTTGGTATCAATGCCTTAAATAGTAAAAGTAATTAGTTTCTCTCTCTTTATTTATTTATTTATTTATTTTTGAGAGGGAGTCTTGCTCTGTCGCCCAGGCTGGAGTGCAGTGGTACAATCTCGGCTCAGTGCAACCTCCGCCTCCTGGGTTCAAACGATTCTCCTGCCTCAGCCTCCCAAGTAGAGCTGGGATTACAGGCGCCCACCAGCACGCCCGGCTAATTTTTGTATTTTTAATAGAGACAGTGTTTCGCCATGTTGGTTAGGCTGGTCTCGAACTCCTGACCTCAGGTAATCCGCCCAGGTCAGCCTCCCAAAGTGTTGGGATTACAGGCTTCAGCCACCACGCCAGGCCAGTTTCTCTTTTTATAAGAAGTCTAAAGATAAACAGTATTGGGTGTGGTAAATTAAAGAATTAAAAAGGAAATTTCAGGACCCAGGGTCATGAGAACCATGCTTACACACTCAGGATATCTCAAATGATTCTTCACATTGATCTCTGTTTCCAAAGGACTCTCTTTAGAGCCCCTTTCACCTCTGCATTCCTAAGGCTGTAGATGAGGGGGTTCAGGATCGGGTTGAAAAGGCTGTAAAACAGGGAAAGGATCTTCCTCCGTTCTTGAGAATGGCTTGACTTGGGGGCCATGTACATGACAATGGCGCTGCCAAAGAAAAGCCCCACCACGCAGAGGTGGGAGGAGCAGGTAGAGAAGGCCTTTCTGCGGCCCTCCCCAGACTGGATCCTCAAGATGGCCACCAGGATGTGCAAGTAGGAGACCAGCACCAGGCAGAGCGGCCCCACTAAGATGAACGCAGAACCCGCAAATAGGACCACCTGGTTGAGCCTAGTGTCAGCACAGGCCAATTTGAATACGGACATGATTTGACAGAAAAAGTGGTTGATCTTTTGTGGGCCACAAAAAGGCAGCCTCAGAATAAGAGTAATATGGACCAGAGCCAAGAGAAAGCTAAATATCCAGCAAGTTGAGGCCAGGACAGTGCACACTCTCCAGTTCATAATGAGGGTGTATTGCAAGGGGTGACAGATTGCCACATACCGATCATAGCACATCATCACCAAAATCAGACACTCTGTAATAGCAAACGCCAAATACAAAAAAGTCTGAAGTATGCAAGGAGCAAAGGAGATGACTTTTTTGTGCATCACAAGATTTGCTAGCATCTTAGGGACAGTACTCGAGGCATAGGACATGTCCACAATGGCCAGGTGTGACAGGAAGACATACATGGGTGTGTGCAGTCTAGAGTCCAAGTAGATGAGCCCCAGGATAATCCCATTTCCCATCAGGGTTAAGCTGTAGAATAGCAAGAAAAACCCAAAGAGGAACAACTCCAGAGCTGGGTCCACCTGGAATCCCAACAGGATGACTTCTGTGATCCAGGTCTGATTGCTTTCCATGTTCTCGTGACAGAAAAATCTTGTGATGTACTTAAGACAGAAATTTCACAGCTAATGGGAGAAAATAAAAAACATTTCATTATAGAGCATGAATTTTATGCCAGAGGCCACAAATCAGTATTTCATGGGTACATCCAGCCCAAAGTCCTATGATGTTGACTTACAAATTTGGCTTTTAGAGATATTTAAAATCTGTAGTTATTGACTAATATTAAAAACTAGGCGATTTCATGATAAAATTGGTGTCTCTAGATTCTTTTGAGAAAAATAGAAGATTTGTCATTTCATGATATTCATTGAAAGCAATAATCAGCTAAATCTAATGAGGCAATAGATAGAGGCTGGTCCTCTTTCATTTACCACTGTTTTCACCAATCTTTATTTTCTCCCAGAAGTTGAGCTCAGTGACACTGAACAATTTTATCATTGTACCTACTCTACTGATGACATATTTACATAAGAAGAGAGTGAAGATTTTTGCTCAAGATGGGTTCCCAATTTCTCCTCTACTTCAAATACATGGATATGAGAGATAAAATACAAAATGCAAACCCTAAAGAGTTTAAAATGTGACAACTCCTTCATACACTGGAAATGAATCAGAAACATAATATGCTCCAAGTCTGGAAGCAGACAGTAATACCTGGAACTTAGCTTTTATGGGGTTAAGGCAAGTTGTTGTGAGATGTGGTACTGATGTGATTGTTTGAAGCTCAGGGCTTGGATTGGGGCCATGAAAGAAGTTTTAAAACAACTATTGGCTTGCTGGATAAAGTGACTTTCAAGAAGTCAATATGCTTGCCGGCTCTATAATTTGATCAACAGAACCTGAGAAAGTGTTATAAGACCTGATTTTTATAAGGGGCCCTTGGAGTCAGGTGAAGAACAACAAAATCTAAAGACCACAAGAGGGAGAAACAAGATAGGAAAATCAAATAATAATAATGATGATAATAATAACAACAATAAAAACAAAAACTTCTCCACTCAAAATTTGCCTAATAAACATGTTTGTTTTAAAACACAAATTTAACACTAAAAAGGGAAAACAAAGTAAATAATTAGAACCTTAAATTCATTGAAGATGCAATTAAATGTATAGAACAACAGTATCTCATTGTGGTTTTGATTTGCATTTCTCTGATGGCCAGTGATGATACATGCACACGTATGTTTATTGCGGCACTATTCACAATAGCAAAGACTTGGAACCAACCCAAATGTCCAACAATGATAGACTGGATTAAGAAAATGTGGCACATATACACCATGGAATACTATGCAGCCATAAAAAATGATGAGTTCATGTCCTTTGTAGGGACATGGATGAAGCTGGAAACCATCATTCTCAGCAAACTATCACAAGGACAAAAAACCAAACACCGCATGTTCTCACTCATAGGTGGGAAATGAGCAATGAGAACACATGGACACAAGAAGGGGAACATCACACACTGGGGCCTGTTGCGGGGTGGGGGGTGGGGGGAGGGATAGCATTAGGAGATATACCTAATGTAAATGACGAGTTAATGGGTGCAGCACACCAACATTGCACATGTATACATGTGTAACAAACCTGCAAGTTGTGCACATGTACCCTAAAACTTAAAGTATTAAAAAAAAGAGAAATATAACACACAATTTTAAAAAACAATAAAGAGGATAATGTCCACATCTACCATTAAAGGGAAGAAGTTGTGTAGTGGAAGATGTCATGAAGGAATCTACCCAGATTTTAATACAGATAGGCAAAGGGATAACATTTTGAAAGCACCACTTAGAGACATAAATGATTGAGAGGCTAAATTTAGATGTGATAGTTTCCTAAGCAAAAGAATGAAGAAAATGGGGAAGAAACAATATTTGAAGAGATTTCACCAAAAATGTTCGAGAATTGAAAACAATTTGTCTTTAAATCACTAAAAAAATGCATTCCACTTAATGAATACAATAAAGGTAAATTTATACTCAAGCAAATTGAAATTTTCATAACTGAAGATGACCTGAGTCTTTAGATTAAAAATGAACCCTGAGAACAAAATAGAATAAATAAAAAATAAATTCTAAATAAATGTAAATGACCGACAATTTTCGTGGATGACTATCTTTCCTCCATACTCTACGTTTCACTGTGTGTAGACTTTCTGGAATTTCTATTGGATCAATATTATCATCTATCAACATATCTTGTATGTCTCTTATCTGCCCTTTAAGATATTTTTTGTCTCACTCTTCACCATGTTCTTGACATTTTCTTCAAAACAAAATTCACAAAGAATACAAAATTTAGAATTTATTTCCTACAAAAGAACTGCAAAATTCATTTTTTTCATTACTCATTTACTACTCAGACTAAAGGACTGCAAAATTTAAATAGAAAAAAAATTCCTTAATTTGAAAAAGAGTACCTATAAAACCTACAGAATCAACATACAAAAATCACTAGAATTTCTATACACCAACAACAGTCAAGCCAAGAGCCAAATCGGGAATGCAGTCCCATTCACAATTGCCACAAAAAGAATAAAATACATAGGAATACAGCTAACCAGAGAGGTGAAAGATCTCAACAATGAGAACTACAAAACACTGTTCAAAGATATCAGAGATGACACAAATAAATGGAAAAACATTCCATGCTCATTGATAGAAAGAATCAATATTGTTCAAATGGCCATACTGCCTAATGGCATTCCTATCAAACTACCGATGATATTCTTCACAGAACTAGAGAAAACTACTTTAAAACTCATATGAAACAAAAAAAAAGAGCCCAAATAGCCAAGGCAAACCTAAGCAAAAAGAACACAGCTGGAGGCATCATGCTATTTGACTTCAAACTATACTTCAGGGCTACAGTAACCAAAACAGCACAGTACTGGTACAAGAACAGACACATAGACCAATGGAAGAGAATAGAGAACCCAGAAATAAGGCCTTACACCTACAACCATCTGATCTTCAACAAAGCTGACTGAAAAAAGCAATGGGGAAAGCACTCCCTATTCAGTAAATGGTGCTGGGAGAACTAGCTAGCCATATGCAGAAGATTGAAACTGGACCCCTTCCTTACACCATATGCAAAGATCAACTCACGATGGATTAAAGACTTAAATATAAAACCCAAAGCAATAAAAACCTTGGAAGACAAAATCTAGGTGGTACTGTTCTGGACATAGAAATGGACAGAAATTTCATGATGAAGATGCCAAAAGCAATTGCAATAAAAGCAAAAATTGACAAATGGGATCCAATTAACTAAAGAGTTCTGCACAGTAAAGGAAATTATCAACAAAGTAGATAGACAATCTACAGAATGGAAGAAATTATTTGCAAACTATACATCTGACAAAGGTCTAATATCCAGCATCTGAAAGGAACTTAAACAAATTTACAAAAAAAAATCCCATTAAAAAGTAAGCAAATGGTATGAACAGACACTTCAAAAGGAGACATACAAGCAGCGAACAAACATATGAAAAAATCCTCATCCTCACTAATCATCAGATAAATGCAAATCAAAACCACAATGAGATATCATCTCACATCAGTCAGAAGGGCTACTGTTAAAGTCAAAACATAACAGATGCTGGCAAGGCTGCAGAGAGAAAAGGGAACACTTATACACTGTTGGTGAGAATGTAAACTAATTCAATCACTGCAGAAAGGAGTTTGGAGATTTCTTTTCTTTTTCTTTCTTTCTTATTTATTTATTTAGACACGGAGTCTTGTTCTGTTGCCCAGACTGGAGTGCAATGGCACAATTTTGGCTCACTGCAACCTCCGCCTCCCAAGTTCAAGCGATTCTCTTGCCTCAGCCTCCTGAGTAGCTGGGATTACAGGCACACGCCATCACACCTGGCTAATTTTTGTATTTTTAGTAGAAACAGGGTTTCACCATGTTGACCAGGATGGTCTTGAACTCCTGACATCAAATGATCCGCCTGCCTTGGCCTCCCAAAATGCTGGGATTACAGGCATGAGCCACCGCACCCAGCCCTGGAGATTTCTTAAAGAACTAAAAACAGAATTACCATTTGACTCAGCAATCCCATTGCTGGGTATACACCCAAAGAAATATAAATCATTCCATTGTAAAGACACATAAACATGTACATTTACTGCAGCACTATTCGTAATAGTAAAGACATGGAATCAACCTAAATATTAAAAACTGGTAGACTAGATAAAGAAAATGTGGTACATATACGCCATGGAATACTATGCAGCCATGAAAAAGAATGAGATCATGTCCTTTGTAGGAACATGGATGGAGCTGAAGGTCTTTATCCTTAGGAAATGAAAACAGGATCAGAAAATCAAATACCACATATTCTCATTTATATGTGGGAGCTTAATGATAAGAACACATGGACACGTAGAGGGAAACAACAGGCACAGGGGCCTATCAGAAGGCAGAAGGTGAGAGGAGAGAGAGGATCATGAAAAACAATTAATGGGTACTAGGCTTAATACCTGAGTGATGAAATAATCTGTACCACAAACCCTATGACATGAATTTACCTATGTAACAAACCTGCACATGTACACCTGAATTTAAAAGTTAAAAGAAGAAAAAGAGTATCCATAAAACCTACAGAGTTTATCCTATGACTGACATCGGTTTAAAATTTATCTCATCTTAATTTTTAAAAATTTAATAACTTTGTTTTTCTTAGATTTTTAAGTTGATACACATATGTATGTATACATATAAATATATATATTTATATATGTCTATAATACATATCTACACATATTTCTTGGTTCATTATAGTGCCTTTTTGTTTCATAACCTTTTTGATTTCTAATAGAAACTATAATTTTATTTGTCTCTTAAAGCCTTTGTTATATTCTCTTAAAATTTAATTTTTCTAGTAGTAAGAGGTAATATTAAAAATTATCAAAGGTAAAAGCAATGATCTAATAAGAGCAACAATTCCACTGACAGAGACTTCTCATCAACAAGAAGAGTTCAGAAGATAATGAGCTACTGTTGTTACTTTGCCAAGAAGGGGAGAAGCTGTCATTCCACAATTTTATATCTGCAGTAACTCTCTTGAATGAATGAGAGCAAAGTAAGATATTATTGGATATACAAATCAGAAGGGCACTGAGGACCTATAGATCCTCAATATAGCCCTATATTCCTTAATAAGAACAAAAGTGAACCCAGAGGTGAATCGAATATATGAAAACAATATTTACACATAATTTCAAATAGAATATCTCAGTAAATTTTATAAACAATGGGCTATAAAATGATTATTTTGGTGTTTTGAAAGGGTAAAATTAAATCTTTTGGAAATAATAAGTAAACAGAGGGAGATGTGTGAAAAATAAAGAATGCTAAGACTCTTGATGAAAATTGAAACTAGGAGTGACTTTAGATTTGTTAAAATAATGTATTAAACTTGTGTATTAGCAATTAGTGAGAATCATAAAAAATAAACAAAATATGTGGTTTCCAAAATTACAAAGTAAATAAAAGAAATTTGAAAACGTTATCAATCCAACAGCAGGCCAAAAAAGAAAAAAAAGCAATTTTTTTGACAAATAGAAAACACAAAATAAGCAAGTATAAATAAGTCTGTGTATATAAATTATCACATTATATGTACTTATAGGGCATTAAAAGACAGAGTTAGGCACTTTAGTTGAAAACAGAAAATCGAGTTACAAAATCCTTATGTGCCACACCTAAACCCCTTAAACATAAATTCTCTTTTTTCTCTCTAACACACACACACAGACGCAGACGCACACGCACACACGCGCACACACACACACATGCACACGCACACCCCCACACCGAGATTAAAAATAAAATAATGGAAAACATGTTGTAGAAACTGGTAGTAGCAATTTTGTTATCAGCATGTGTAAGCATGTAGGTGATACTATACAATAATAATGAAAAGAAAAATCCACAAAGAATAGACAATTCAGAATTTATGCCCTATGAAAAGACTGCAAGATTCAAATAGACAAAAACTTTTCCTAAATCTGAAAAAGAATATCCATAAAACCAACAGAAACATTATACTTAACGGTGAATGTTTAAAAGCTTTCCCCTTGCATTAGAATATAAGGTGCTCCTCTTGTATTCTGGAGAGTTTGTTTTGATCCTTCCTATTTAGATCTAAAACTGACCTGGTGTTTATTTTTGTGCATGGTGTGTGGTAGGGGCCATGTTTTGGTGTTCTTCGAAGAAGAAGAAGGTACTAACCACTTCTATTTAATGTTGATTAATAAAGTAGCCAGTAATAACACCAAAAGAAAGAGTAAGAAGCATAAGAATTAAAATGAAGAATATCAAATGTCATTATTTACACCACCATGATTTTGTTTGTAGAAAAATTTTAAACTCAATCAATGAACTATTAAAATTACTGTGTATTTATAAAAACTTCTGGATTCAAGGTCAATGTACAAAATTAATGAGATATGTATATATGCATGTATACATTAATATAATTGTGTGTTTATAGATTGGAAGTTTTGTAAAGATTCTAAACCTATTCAATTTGATCTATACTTTCAATGAAATTCAAATCAGAATACCAGCAAGTTTTTTTATCAATGAAAATTAATAATTGTACTCTAAATGTTATATGAAATGCAGAAGGTCCAGAATAGTCAAGGAAATCTTGAGAAAGAAGAATGAATGGAAGAACTTACTCCATTGACTCTCCAGACTTATAAAGCCACAGCAATTGAGTGAATGTGGCAGTGGAAGAAGGATAAACAAATATACCAGTGACACAGAGTGGTTAACTCAAAAATCCAGAAGAACGGCTGGGCGCGGTGGCTCACACCTGTAATCCCAGCACTTTGGGAGGCCGAGGTGGGTGGATCACTTGAGGTCAGGAGTTCGAGACCAGCCTGGCCAACATGGCAAAACCCTGTCTCTACTAAAAATACAAAAATTAGGAGGGCGTGGTGTTGGGCATCTGTAGTCCCAGCTATTCGGGAGGCTGAGGCAGGAGAATTGCTTGAACAGGAGGCAGAGGTTGCAGTGAGCCAAAATCGTGCCACTGCACTCCAGCCTGGGAGACAGAGCGAGACGCTGTTTCAAAACAAAACAAAACAAAATCCAGAAGAATATGCACACTCTTGATCTAAGACAAAGTTGGCACTGGTGTTTTTGAAAAATAATATTATGCTGTGTCGGTTGGCTATCCATGTCGAAGAACACCAAAACATGGCCCCTACCACACACCATGCACAAAAATAAACATCAGGTCAGTTTTAGATCTAAATAGGAAGGATCAAAACAAACTCTCCAGAATACAAGCTAGGGGTATGTTTTTGAGAGTAGCGAACGTTTCTTAAACAATCCACACTGAAAAGATTGTGTCATTACAGTGTTACAAATACAGACAGGATTCTGTTTTCCTTTTCCATTTTTAAATTGTAAGAAAACACATTATTTTAAAAAACTTCCTTCTCAAAAGTGAGAAACATCTCTCCCTTTAAATGGATGTAAAGGGAATAAGAATGCATTCAATTGTGTTTATTTTTTAAAAGCAAAATTTTCACTTAATGTGTTGCCAGATACATGTGAATCAGAGAAGTTATTTTTGTAGTAGGAATATTTTACCGTATTTCCACTAGCCAGGACTTTTCCCCAAAATTTAATATGTGACACCATAGTCAAGTTATCCCACTCTAGGATCTGATAAAGGGTTTCCATAAGATGAAGACAACCATTCTTGGTACACAAATCAGGAAAAGCTTATCTGGCTTGTCTGGCACCTATATGGGCTTCTCTGCTATTAGAAGAAATAGGAGAGAAATCCTTGTCAAATAACTCTAGGACTTTCCCCTGGCACCTGACATCTCCCTCCAGGGCAACAAAGAAAAGGAACCCTAATGTTACTTTGCTGGCTGGAGGGTATTCCTAGGATGTAGCAGAAGCAGATGATTCTCGGTAGAAGAAATGAAGAAATCACAGGAAAAACTATGTAACACCTGGAGCTTCACCTCCTTCATTTGTAAAGGAGGCAGCAGGAATATATATATGACTCTTATGCCTCTTCCAGTTTGACACCATGAACCAGAGTGATCTACTGCTACCAGCTCCTTCCCACAAGTGATAGGAAAAGGGTGGGACAAAGGCAAGTCTGAAACCTATGTAACGTTTTGACACTGTAAGTATCAGATGTTACTCTGAGACCTGGCATAGTGCCAGGAAGGGGTCTCCGTGAAGGTGTTCTCGCTCGCTCTCTCTTTTTTTCCTCCATCCTAAACCTGAACATTTCTGCCAGTCTTCTGCCTTCTCCTGGAAACCACTAATCAGTGTATAAATAATGATTAATACAAAGGAAGATACTATTTCTGGTATTTGCCTCAAATTGCCCTTGAATGCACAGGAAAACACAGAGATGCGGAAAGGTTGGAGCTGAATTGCCTGCACCTGAAGCAGGTTGGGTAGACGATGAGTCCCAGATCTCTTTCTATCCTGAGGACTGGGACAGGACCCAGGGATGTTCAGGGGGCTTCTAGATATGTAGACTTTATACTCTGATTACTTAAAAGAGGCCCATTATCCAGAGACATACCTGTGGAGTCCAGAGAACAACATATGAAGCGTCTTCCCACCATCCTATGTCTTCCCTACTGAGCAGTGTAACACCTTCCCCTCTCCTCTCTATCCTCCAGCTTTGTTATTCGTATGAGTGTCAGCGTGTGTAGGTGTGGGGCAGGTGTGTATGCCTCTGTTTGTGTGTGTGTGCACGCATGTGCACTTGTGTTCCTGCTTATGCAAAGAAGTGAGAACTCAGGAAGAATGGCAAGGTTGTTCCTACCCAGGAGAATCTTGGCATGCACATTTCACAGATAAGTCACCTTATATGGGTTATGTCACATGGCACAGTCTCCAAGCATCTAGACTTATTGTGATCTCAAAATTTTGCCTGCCTACATACCCCCCTTTCAAAAAGGTTGAAATTTGATGATGTGATAAATGTGGCCCCCATGGAGCTTGTTAAGGCAGCACCTCAGAGGACTGTATCTCCTCCAAGGAGAGGAGTCTTGGTCTGCCGAAAGTCTTATTGTGTGTGAATTGCAAAAATTTCCATTGCAGTATATTTTTAAATTTGGAAGCTGATAGAGATCAGATTCTATTTCCCCTGTGCTTTTTTCCTTTCCTTCAATTTCAAGCCACTCTCTATTTGTTCCATTTAAAAAACATATCTTTTCTTTCAAATATGTATCCTACCTTTAGATTCAATTTTTAAAAAATCTCTCGGCCGGGTACAGTGGCTCATGCTTGTAATCCCAGCACTTTGGGAGGCCAAGGCAGGGGATCACAAGGTCAGGAGTTCAAGACCAGCCTGGCCAACATGGTGACACCCCATCTCTACTAAAAATACAAAAATTAGCTTGGCATGTTGGCACGTGCCTGTAATCCCAGCTACTCAAGAGGCTGAGGCAGGAGAATTGCTTGAACCAGGACCCGGGAGGCAGAGGTTGCAGTGAGCCGAGATCGTGCCGCTGCACTCCAGCCTGGGCTAGAGAGCAAGACTCTGTTTCAAAATAATAATAATAATAATAAAGATCTCTCAACTCTAAGCATTTCGGTGTTTGATTAAAATTATATGGCAGACAAATGACATGTCTGTCATGTAGACAACAGACTTGGAGAAAAACACAGAGCCATAATGAATTTTAAGTTCATGATTTTTCATCTCAGTTGGACCCTTATTTAAAGAGGATGCCGCTAGGACACTCTCTTTAAAAAAGTATATTTGAATTACAATATAATATATTTCTCATCAATCCCTACCTGTAATTTCCAAGATTTTTCTGTCATTTCTGATTTTAAAGAGAGATATTATAAGGAACTATTTCTCTTACTTATTTTATTAATGATACCCTCAGGCCTAAAGTATCTCCCTACAATTACTAGAATCAAGTGCGTCAAAATCTTCTGTAGCTACTTTAATAAGAAACTTCAGTATTATGAGGGTGATCAGTGGGGCAGGAAAATAGGGTCTGGAGGGAGGAAACATAAGGCCGATTCATACTTCAGCTATAACAGGAAATATCCTCTCTATAGGGCATACACCATAAATGACTTTCTAACTTTACTTCATCCTCTTCATTTAAATGGGGTGTACCCCAAGAAGAGGGCATTTAAACTCACAAAATCGCTGTAACAGGGCCTTTGAACCCTGATGCTAAGGCCCGCTCCCACATTGTGGAGTATACTTTCATTTTCAATAAAGCCCTTTGTCGTTTCTTTGTTTGTGCATTTTGTCCAATTCTTTTGTTCAAGATGCCAAGAACCTGGACACCCTCCACCGTTAGCATATTTTGGCGAGCCACCCAGGAGTAAGAGGTAAGCCCAAAGTTTGGGATTTATTCTTTTCCTTCTGCTCCATACAGGGGAATCTCTTTCTGTTTTTCTTTCCAAACCAGGACCCTTGGTGGGCAGCAACTAAACATGGAAGCAACTGCAGGTTTCTGGCCATGGCCAGTGAAACTAGGGGCTTTCCATGTGGAGAAGACTGACTGCCGCCGCCGGTTCGCTTAAGGGACCAGGATCTTTTTCATTTTTTTCCCTGTCTTTCTTTTTCAGTCTTTCAGTGCTGTTTCCTAGTAGCTCCTTGGAAATTGAGGGCAATTGGCTGGGGTCACTCCCTGGTAGTGTCTTAAGGCCTAGGAATGAGGTTATAATTACCCTACCCATAGGGGGAAAAACTTTTATATATATATACATATTTTCCACGCGTGGTCCCTGATCCCTACGTGTGGTGCACCAGCTCACAGCAAACTCGCATGTGTTTCAAGCAACTTGAACATTCTTTTCTTATGCTAAAATCTTCCCTTATCTACTCAACTGGCTAAGGAACATAAAGGCCCACCCAGCATCCAGTTCACATTACAGTTCATGGCTATTCTTCTAAAGCTCAT
Organism: Homo sapiens; assembly: GCF_000001405.40. NCBI lineage: Eukaryota > Metazoa > Chordata > Mammalia > Primates > Hominidae > Homo > Homo sapiens. Next base: position 144,084,187 of record NC_000007.14, on the reverse strand, counting down.
AGTAGGTTCTGGAGGGAATGCATGCAAGGTGGCACCAGTGCCCACCTGAGGCCAGAGAGGTCTGGAACTCTAAGACTGGACCCCACAGGAGGACACCCCGGGGAATCCTCTAGACCTCAAACTCTCCAAAGAGGACGCTCTTGGCAGAGGTTCTGCGGTCTAGTATTAAGCCCTCGTTAGAATTTTCTCTCACAGTTGCAATGCTGCTTGGCCCCAACATTATTTGGAACCTGGGGTTCAATGTCTACTGGGAAAGTGGAACAGCATTGCATGTATCCAGGCTTTTGTGCTGTAGTTCTAAGCAGGGGGCCTGGTTAATGTATGACACCCTCCTTTGGTACTGTTTGGCCCCAGTGATCTATGGAGTCTGGGGAGGTTTGGCCTTTAAAAATCAAACTGCCATGGAGACTGTTTTACCCAAAATTTTGGTTCACAGTCTTCATTGGATTGTCTGTTGGGGCAAAGTAAAACCGGCAAGCTGGTATTGCTATCTCATGGCTAAGGTTCCAAGCTATTGGAACAAGACAAGTCTAACTGTCCCACTATACACCTCCAATACAATGTTGAATCAAAGTGGTGAGAGTGGACATCCACGTATTGTTCCTGATCTTAAGAAAAAGCATTCTATCTTTCACCATTAAGTACAATGTTAGCTGTGAGCTTTTTCATCTATGCCTTTTGACAGGTTGAGAAAGTACTCTTCATTTTTATTTTGTTGAGTATTTTTATTATTATTAGATTTGTCAAATGCTTTAATTTGGCTATTAAAATGATCATGTTGTTTTTCTCATTTATGTAATTAATGTGGTATACTTTATTGATTTGGTATTTGGATATGAAAGCAACCTCAGATTCTAGGGATGAATCCAGTTTGGTCATAATATGTAAAACCTTTGATATGCAATTTAAACTCGTTTGCTAGTATTACATATTGTTCAGGATTTGGGCATGTATATAAAAAGGGGTACTGTTCTTTAGTTTTCTTTTTTGTAATATCTTTTTCTTGGTTTTGGTATGAATATAATACTGGCCTCAGAGGATGAACTGGGAAGTATTCCATTCTCTATTTGGAAGGCTTCGTGAAGGATTTAGTGTTAATTTTTCATTAAACCTTTAGTAGGATTCATCAGGGAAGCCACGCAGTTCTGGGATTTTCTTTTTAAAAAGTTTTAAAATTATCAATGCAATTTCTTTACTTTTATAGTTCTATTTACATTTTATTTCCTATTGAGTCAGTATTATACTTTGTATCTTTCTAAGAATTTGTTCATTTCATCTAGATTATCTAATTTTTTGGCATACAATTGCTCATATTTCTTATAAACATTTTATTTCCATAAGGAAGTGGCAATGTCCCCTTTTTCTTTCCTGATTTTAGTAATTTGAGTCCTCTCTTGTTTCTTCTTGTGTCCCAATTCTTACCTAACTACAAATACAAACTCTACTCTAAAAAACAAAACTAAGAACTGAAATGGTTGGACACACGTGCCTCTTTAAATTGGCACAATCTCTTTCCGCCACTTCACTCATTAGTTAACTTATGAAACATTTGCCAAGTCCTGAACATTAATTTGCCAAAGAATTTTTTCTTTCACAAAATTCAGTGCTTTCTCAAGCAAGCTAAAGCTGCCAAATCAATCTGATGTGAGCTTAAGCTTCTAATGAGTGTGTCTTAGAAGTAATTGTGTCCTTAGTAAATTCAGTCGCTAATTTTCATGCAATAACTATAGAGAATATAGATTGGTAACAGCCAGATTACCAGTCCTAAAAAGGTCAGAAAATCAAGAAGTGAGATAGAAGAAAATAACTGTAAGGAACTTGGAGTAGTATCAGTCTTTCCCTCCCACTGTAAATATAAAACTAAATGAAATATATGGAACAGCCATTTTCAGTTGCAGGAAAGTAGATAGTACAGTGATGTGATCCTTGTGAGAAGGGAAATATGACACAAGCCTCACATTCAAACAGACTTCCTCCCAAGAGTCATTTTCCAAGCAGCAACTAGCAAAACGGAGTCCAAGGAGAAAGCTGAAGTCTCCTTGGGTACAAATAACAGGGAAGTTGAGGGCCAATGTGGAAACTGAGATTTCAGGGTAGGGCACTGAAGAAGAATATGTACAAAAGGAACTTCCAAAGTATGCATAGGTGTTTCTCCTAAGTCTAGGCTGAATCCAAACATGCAAGATTCCTGGAGGCATAGCAAAGGCTGGTTTCTGTGGGGCTGACTGCTGAGAAGTGCTGAACAGAACTGAAAAGTGATTTTAGAAATTTCGAAGTGCTGGGGATGTTGGAGTTACAATCTACCAGGGTTGAGAGATTTTGATAAAGACCACATTATAGAAAGAGAAATTGTGCCCTACAAACAACAGTAGATCTGCCACAATCGTAATTATGAAAAAAAAATACCAAAAATCTTTAGAGGAAAATTACATAACAGAAAGCCTCTACAACTTTTCATTGAAAACTTGAAAAAAAAGAAAAAAAACTGATCAATAATCAAGAGAGAATGTAGTCACTGGGAGACTGCCAAACATAACACAGATACCAAAGCTCTGAATAAAGGCTTCAAAGTAACAATAATTCATATTTTGAAGAAAATGGAGGCAGAGATATAAAAAATTGAAAAAATTGTCATATTCCACAGATAAATATAATCTATAGAAATAATCAAATATTCATTCTAAAACAACAAACTGTAATATCTGAAATTAAGAAACATTGGATAATTTAACTGATTATCCTGATTCATTAGAAGATTATTAAAGTCAAGTAAAGATAAATAGGAAACATGCAGATAAACGCATAAAAGCAAAATAACAGATATGGAGCAGATTATGTAGGTTGATGTTAAAAGTCGATCATAGGCCGTGCGCGGTGGCTCACACCTGTAATCCCAGCACTTCGGGAGGCCGAGGCGGGTGGATCACGAGGTCAGGCGATCGAGACCATCCTGGCTAACACGGTGAAACCCCGTCTCTACTAAAAATACAAAATATTAGCCGGGTGTGGTGGCCGGCGCCTGTAGTCCCAGCTACTCGAGAGGCTGAGGCAGGAGAACGGCGTGAACCCGGGAGGCGGAGCTTGCAGTGAGCCAAGATCTTGCCACTGCACTCCAGCCTGGGCGACAGGGTGAGACTCCATCTCAAAAAAAAAAAAAAAAAAAAAAACGCCATCATATTCCCAAGAGGAAGAGAAAATAAAGTGGGCCCAAATCACATTTTGTCTGAGCATTTCTAATATATAAAGTCAACCCTTCCATGAATTTAGAAAGTTTAACAATTCACGTCAGGATACATGCAAAGAAAATATGACATAGGCATATCATGGTCGTATCACAGCCTCACTTAAAAAAACCAAGGACACAAAAAAAATCATCGTGTTCAGGAGCATAAAACACAACCACTCATTAACACCACCGGGAGCATTTCTTCAGCCAGAAAAAATCTCCTTTTGTGTCTCCTGAAGTGCATGAACACTCTGAGGTGTTTCTTTTTTTCTTTCTTATCTTCTGTGATAACATCTTTCTTTCATCTGAAATTTGAATTATATTTTCTGGATGTAGAATTCTAGGTTGGCAGTTAATTCTTTCAACAATTTAAATAATATTTTATTTTCCTCTGAATTCCTTAGCTTCAATCAAATGTCAGTCACAACTCTTATTATTGATTCCTGGTAGCAATGGGTAGAGGTTCCAGTTTTTATGAAGGCATTCTTACTCTAACATAACACCTTACACAGGTGAAGGGTTTATAAAATATGACCTCTGGAGTCATTTTAATCTGTGATTTGGGGGATTGACAAATACCCTAAAAGCAGGTATAGTCTTCCGTTTTCCTAACTTGTTTTTCTGCTAGTTGCTAGCTTGTGTTCTCATAATTGTCCATTTATTTTCTGTCTAATCTTTGTCCTCTTGAGAATTTTATTGACTCTCCTGCAGACACAGCTCTACATTTAAAGTGATGTTGGTTTGCTTAACATTCTACCAAGCATTTTTAGGTGTCTTGTCGTAAGATGATTTTCTATTCCTGGAAACAGAAATGAGAAATGCAAAAACTAAATAATCGCAGAAGGGAGCCATGTTATTCTCTTTTGAAAATAAGTTACATGCTACGAACAGAGCCACACTGTAATTATTCAAACTTAGAGTTTTCCAATGGGCTTAAGATAATTATAGCAAATATGCAAGCACAAAGAGTCAATCTATACCCAGATTTTCACAGCCAGAATTTTTTTTTCTTTTCTTTTCAATCCAGAGCAACACAGTGCCCATGAAAGTCAGCTATTGTCTAAGAGGTGGTAGATGCAAATATCAGAAAAGTAAGGATAGTGACTTCAGAGGAAAACATCATGGTGCAAGAGAAAAAACTGCATACAAGAGGTCTTTGGGGCCATCCAACCAAGTCAGAGGTTCATAGCACCAGCAAGGAGAAAGATAGGGAGGGATGAAACACCAAAGGGCAGAAACTGTATATATAGAGAGAGCTCATCATTGTATTTACAATATAGAGCTCAGTGTGAGACACAATGCAGGTCATGAGTAAATAATAATAACAATTCTATAGGCTGACTTTCAAGAGTTCAAGAGTTCATTCCAAAGCAGATGAAAGTTTAGAGGGTTTTTTTTGTTTTTTGGTTTTTTTTGTTTTGTTTTGTTTTGTTTTTGAGACGGAGTCTTGCTCTGTCACCCAGGCTGGAGTGCAGTGGCGTGATCTTCGCTCACTGCAAGCTCCGCCTCCTGGGTTCACACCATTCTCCTGCCTCAGCCTCCTGAATAGCTGGGACTACAGGCGCCTGCCACCATGCCCGGCTAATTTTCTGTATTTTTAGTAGAGACAGGGTTTCACCGTGTTAGCCAGGATGGTCTCGATCTCCTGACCTTGTAATCCCCCCACCTCAGCCTCCCAAAGTGCTGGCATTACAGGCGTGAGCCACCGCGCCTGACCGAAAGTCTAGAGTTTTTATAACCCAGTATTCCCATTCATATGTAGCCAACAGAAGTGATTATATATGTCTCCTGAAAGGTGCATATAATACCATTCATGGAATAATTATTTGTTATAGCTAAAATTGTAGGCAATTCAAATATCCATTAGGAATGTGGTGAATAAATTATGAAATATTTGTGCAATGTAATGCTATAAAACAAAGAAAAATAATAAATTATGCTACATACAGCAACCTGGGTGAATCTCACAAAGACAATAATGAATGAAAGTAGGCAGATAGAAAAGAATGTACACTCTTTATGTACCTATCCAATTTATATAAAGTCCAAGAAAATACAATGCTAATATGTGCTGTTAGAAGTTAGGGTAATAGGTATCTTGTGGGAGGAGGGAAGGTGCAGTAATTGGGAGAGAGCATGATGGTAGCTCCGGAAGGCCAGAATGTTTTATTTCTCCTCCCCGAAAGTGGTTACATAATGTGTTTACTTCATGATCTTTCACTGAATTTAACTTATGATTTATACATTTCTCTGTGTGTCTTTAATTTAAAAAATTTTTAAAAAAATTATTCGGCTGGGTGCGGTGGCTCACGCCTGTAATCCCAGCACTTTGGGAGGCTGAGGTGGGCAGATCATGAGGTCAGGAGTTCGAGACCAGCCTGGCCAACATGGTGAAACCCCATTTCTACTAAAGATACAAAATATTTGCTGGGCATGGTGATGCACCCCTGTAATCCCAGCTACTTGGGAGGCTGAGGCAGGAGAATCGTTTGAACCCAGGAGGCGGAAGTTGCAGTGAGCCAAGATCGCGCCATTGCACTCCAACCTGGGTTGATAGTGGGAGACTCTGTCTCAAAAAAAAAAAAAAAAATTCTTTCCTCCATTTATTCTTTATACTTACCAACCACCAAATTATGCTCATTTTACTTTATCATCTCCCAGTGAAATCACCCCCACTTTATTCTCATGTGTACTTTTCCGTTCAGCCTCTGCCAGCATTTCTTGCTTCAACTGATATGATAGCCTTTATATTACAGTAGCTCTGATATCAGTTTGGTCAATTCAAATACTCAGTCCTCATAGCTCCAGAAGATCTTTCTAAATTCAGGTCTGATTACTTGGCATTTTCATACTTATAATCTGGCTTCGCATTTCATATAGGCCGTACTTCAGGGTCATTAGCCTGGAATATGTGTTCCTCCATGCTTGTTCTCTCCAAGCTCACCTGTCATCAGTCCCTGCCTTGTATTTTATACCTGGAAAACCCTGAGCTATGTTTGCTTCCCCCGCAGCTTACAAGCTGCTTACTCCCTTTGGGTCTTTGCTTCTTTCACTCATTGGATGGAACACCCCTTCCTGCCACACCACGCCTTTCTCCCAGCCCCTGATGGCTAACTCTTACTTATGCTTACTTAAGATTAACTTTCTGGGGTCCACAGAAGGACAGTGGTAGCAGTAACACTAGATGGACAAGGGCCAGTAAGACTCCTAAAATCCAGGAAGTCAATGCCAGAGTGATGCAGACTTCCACTCCAGGAAGTCTTACTGAAACACTCCCATTCTGGGGGAGTTATCCTTCCTCTGGGCTACAATAGCATCCTGGGCAGAGCTCAGTTATTAACTTATTATATAAGTTGATAATTTCCATCATATATCCATTTAATTCTCCTACTACACATGAATAAAGTAATAGGAAATGTGCCCTATTCGTCCTTTTGTTTCCAGGACCTAGCACTGATGTGTGTGTGTATGTGTGTGTGTAATATATACACACACATATATGAATTTTAGCAATTTTGAATTGTATTTATCCATGTATTTTAAAATAGTCATTACTCTTTCAGAGAACTGAGATTGCAAAGGAAAAGCTCTGTGAATCATTTACTTCATAAATTATTTGACATCATGGCATTTTGTATCAGATAAAACGCTAAATTTTGCAACATTCCTCCTTCTTTCTGGTAAAATGGGAAATCTGATATTTTGTTATTGCACTTATAAGTTGGTGTTCTAGTTCTTTAAGGACATAATAAGTATATGTAGTGGATAATATTAATGAATACTACTTACTGTGTTATTATGAGTTATAGATCTTGCTAAACATTTTCATGTATTTCCTCTAATCTTCCCAACAATCTGTGAGCTTGGCATTACTGACCTCATTTTATACATAATAATTTCTGAAGAATTTAAGTAAATTACAAAAGTTTCCACATCTAGCAACTGGCAGAACTTTGTAAAATCCCAGGTCTAGCTGAACCCAAAGTACATGTGTTTTTACTCCCCCACTTTTTTTTTGGTTATGTGATCATGTCTGCAATAACAGATGTCCTAACAAAAGGGATGCTTTGTGAGAGAAAAATCCATGTATTTTCCTCATCAACATACTTTTTCACAAAAAAACATCTTTTTAACAAAGTTGAATATTTCCCTTTTATACAGTTTGCATATTTAGGCTTAATTAAGTTATACTTAATTTGAGAGAAGAGTTGAGAAACAGAAGTATCTTTATACATCCTTTCCTAATACTTCTTCACTATTATTTTCTATCACTTTATAACTAAGTGGAAGAGTTTCATGTTTGAATAAAAAGATTATTAAAATTACTTCAAATACCTCAATTTAAAATTAAATTATTCCTGATAATTTCCAGCTGTAGTAATATTGATCAACTAGCCACAACAGTTACAGTCTGTTCTTACTTTTCAGGATTATCTCCTCTGAGTTTTAATCATTTTCAATAGGAGACAATTGACCAAACCCATGAGAGAAAACATATAGTTCTTCCATGAGCTCTGTTATTCCCATTGTGCTCTCTTCCTCTCAGCTCTACGTCCCATGGCTTTCCCCTGCACTCCACAAGCAGAGAAAAAGGAACGGAGAAGGCTCCAATATGTCTATATATTTACTAGCATGACATCTGCCCAGGTTTTCTTGTTAGTTGCATTACAGTTATATTCTCCATTCTCTTTCCTGTGAAGACATGGCTCATGCTCTTTCTAATCTACGTGGATTATACCTTAGAAAATGTCACCACCAGAGAAATATGTGCAAATATTTTATATGTAGACCTATTTTTAAATATAGCATTTTTTTTTTTTTGAGATGGAGTCTCGCTCTGTCACCCAGGCTGGAGTGCAGTGGCACGATCTTGGCTCACTGCAACCTCCACCTCCTGGGTTCAAGCAATTATCCTGACTCAGCCTCCCAAGTAGCTGGGATTACAGGTCTGCGCCAACATGCCTGGCTAATTTTTGTGTTTTTAGTAGAGACGGGGTTTCACCATGTTGGCCAGGATGGTCTCAATCTCCTGACCTCATGATCTCCTTGCCTTGGCCTCCCAAAGTGCTGGGATTACAGGCATGAGACACTACGCCTGGCCTAAATATGACACTTTCTTTTTTTTTTTTTTGAGACGGAGTCTCGCTGTGTCCCCCAGGTTGGAGTGCAGTGGCGCCATCTCAGCTCACTGCAAGCTCCGCCTCTCCAGGGTTCGCGCCATTCTCCTGCCTCAGCCTCCCGAGTAGCTGGGACTACAGGCGCCCGCCAACACGCCCGGCTAATTTTTTGTATTTTTAGTAGAAACGGGGTTTCACCGTGTTAGCCAAGATGGTCTCGGTCTCCTGACCGCGTGATCCACCTGTCTCGGCCTCCCAAAGTGCTGGGATTACAGGCGTGAGCCACCGTGTCTGGCCGGCACGTTCTAAATTAAGAATAATTAAATAATGACTTTGTTATCAGTCTCTCCTAACTCCCATATCCTTATTCTACAAAAATTCGCCTTCAAGTCTTATTTACAGAACAAAAAGATACACATTTATTTCCAACTTTCAGAATATTTCACATAATTATATTAAAAGTGTGTACACTATACAGCTAGTATAAACATATTTTTATTAATTGTGCAGCTCCGACCTTCAATGCTGGAGAGAGGAAAGCAGAATGGGCTTTCTCGGGAGGTAGTCATAGGAAAATTTCAAGAAGATGGAAAGGGTTCTCTAGAGTGTGATTATGTATCCTGAGTAGGGATGGGTTCAGATGTAATCTCAAAGCCCTTTGAAGCCAGCTATTTTACTATTCTTTCAGGCTTTCATGAAGTTCTCTTCTTTTCAAGCATCCTCTTTAGAGTACCTTGGACTTCCTTGTTCCTAAGACTATAAATTAGGGGATTAAGCATGGGATTGAAGAGGCTGTGAAACAGCAGGAGATATTTCTTCTGCTCCTTGGGGCTCTCATACTGGGGCTCAACATACATGATGATGGCTGTGCCATAAAAGAGTCCAACCACACAGAGGTGGGAGGAGCAGATGGAGAAGGCTTTCTGGCACCCCTCTCCTGACTGGATCTTTAGAATGGCACATAGAATATGAACATAAGATATTACAGTGGAAAAGAAGGCTCCCACCAGCACAGACACTGCCCCTGCCAAAACCATTACCTCATTAATGTGGGTATCCGCACAGGCAAGTTTGAGAACAGCCATAATTTCACAGAAAAAGTGATTAAGTTTCTGGGGTCCACAGAAGGACAGTGGTAGCAGTAACACTAGATGGACAAGGGCCAATAAGACTCCTAAAATCCAGGAAGTCAATGCCAAAGTGATGCAGACTTTCCAGGTCATGATGGTAGAATATCGGAGAGGGTGGCAGATGGCCACGTACCGATCATAGGACATCACCACCAGGAGGAGACATTCTGTATGTGCAAAACTCAAAAACAGAAACATCTGGGTCATGCAGCCAGCAAAGGAGATGGGCTTGGCTGGATGCAGGAGGTTCACCAGCATCTGGGGCACCGTGCTGCAAGCACAGGCGATGTCGACGACCGCCAGGTGTGAGAGGAAGAAGTACATGGGGGTGTGGAGTCTGGAGTCCAGTGAGATGAGCCCCAGGATTGTCCCGTTCCCCAACAGAATGAAGATGTAGAACAGGGAGAAGAGCCCAAAGAGGAGCATCTGAATCCTTGGGCCAATGGGAAATCCCAGTAGGAGGAACTCTGTGATGGAAGTCTGATTTCCCCCCATTTCCCTGTAGAAGAAACAAGGAGCTCACCAAGTCTGAATGTCTAAGGCAAATGTTTAAGCATGCTGCAACTGTACATATTATTGTTTGAGTGTTTTCTAAGAAAACACCTTCAATTATATTTTGATCTTAGTCACTTACTAAGAGAAAATTATGCATTACAAATGAAGCACAAGGACATTTTGTCATCTATGATAAATTCAATGTTAGTATGATATTATAGTATTCATTACATCTTATTTTCAAATCTACTTTCGTTACAGTTCAAAATATGTTAATACTTAAATTGCCTTAATAGCATGGACTCTTTCCTCAGTTTGTGATGATTACATCAGATGCTTGCCTTCTGTATTCCTTCATTGCAGGGTACTTATATCCATGCATGTGGAAGTGTGCTGGTGTCTATGTCTATATATAAGGATAGAAAGAGGGATGATGACCATGTCAATGATCCTGCTATCAGGTCTTCTCACCAATTTGTGCCTTTGTTTTATGAATTATTTTTTAAACTTGTGATTTTTACTGATTGCATAATCTTGAATTAAGTTAAGAGAATGGCAGTTTGCCCTAACTTTGGCTGGATTTAAACAGAGATCTTTGTGTCTTGACTTTTGTACCCATAGAGGGTCTACTCTGTTTGTGTTGTCTTATGATCAGAATGTAGTTACCTGTCACCTTTCTTGGACTACAGTAATCTATTGTATATTTCATTGTACATTTCATCATACAGTAATCTACTGTATATATAGTATACTTCTTATACTATAAATGTGTATTTATATTATTTATTTGTATATATATTTTTCTGTTTTTTGCAAATTTATTTTTAACAATTTTTAATTGATACATAATAGATGTAAATAGTTTTAGGGTACATGCGATAATTTAATATACTCATTTAATTTATAAAGATCAAATCTGTGTACTTGGGCTATCTGTCACCTTAAATATTTGTCTTTTCTTTATGTTAGAAACATTCAAATTATTCTCTTCTGGCTATTTTGAAATATACAATAGATTACTGTAAACTATAGTCACTCTTCTAATCCATTGAACACTAGGTCTTATTTCTTCTATGAAACCATATGTTTGTACTCATTAGTCAACTTCTCTTTTGTTTCCCTTTTGCTACCCCTCCTGGCATCTGGTAACCACCAAGCTACTCTCTGTCTTCATGAGATGCACATTTTTAGCTCCCACATATAAGTGAAAACATACAATATTTGTCATTCTGTGCTTAGCTTGTTTCATTTAATGTAATGACCTCCAGTTCCATCCATGTTGCTGAAAATGGCAGGATTTTATTCTTTTACATGGCTGAATAATATACCATTGTGTATATATATCACATTTTCTTTATTCATTCATTGATGAGCACTTAGGCTTATTCCATATTTTGGTTACTGTGAATAGTGCTGCAATAAACATGGCTGTGAAGATATCTTTTTGATATGTTCACTTCATTTCTTTTGGATATATACCCAGCAGTGAAATTGTTACATATGATTTATTTAGTTGCATTTGGAAATTTCTAAAATTCTGCTATATTCCTACAGTAATAAATGTCTACCCAGTACATACACACATGAGTACATATACAATTGAATCCTTACTCTGTGTAATGTGCTTGTTTTCTGTTTTATTCTAGTCTAATGTATTCTATTTCATTAGTAAAAGTGCTGGCTGAATTATTTCATGATGGGTCATAGCCTGGGATTTAAAAAATACTGATCTCTATCCAAAACTAGAGCTAAAACTCTAACCATATACTTATATTCATAGAATGTTTAACATATTTTATAGCTTCTTAACTATCATGTACAAATAAATAACTACTTATTATTTATGGTGACTCTTTAGTTTTTTTTTGTGGCCTATCAAATGTTTTAAAATCCTTCCAAAGCCAAGAGGGTATACTGAGGTTTGAATCATTGTAATTTCTAAATTATTGCTTCTGTTTTTTTGCCTGACTCTATAGCCTTCTTCAGCCCATAATCCATCTGGATTTCACTAAAATAAAAACAGAAAAATTCATAATTGAGTTCCTATCAATGAGTTCCCTATTCAAGTAATATTTGAAAGATTTCATCAGCAAAGGTAGATAAGTTTTGCTTCAAAGCAAGAATCATAATTCAAAGTAGAAATTATTGGAAGGTGATATTATCTTAGTCAATAAATAATCTGATCATTATTGAAATTGCCTTCTTGAAAATTAGTAATTTTATTAGGAATGAAGATTTCAGTGAGTGTTTTAATTCATAGATTAATTAACCATCTATTCAAGATGGGATTCCTTTGTCATGTGAGAAGTTGAACTAGAAGAATGCCAAGATCCTTTCCAACAATAGGATTCAGTGGTCCCAAATGTATAGAAAAGTGTTATTCACTTTCACCTCAACTTCCTTGCAATATCTGAGTCCAATGAAGATAACAATGCTACTTTTAAAATTTCATATAATAAAGGCACACAATAAAATAGAAGGACCAATGGTGTCATCTCATCTTCCCCCATCTCCAAGTAGCTAAATCACAAAATATAAATCCACAGGTATTAACTGAACATATATTACGTCCTGCTACATGTCTTAGCTGAGGGCATATAAGACTGTACTTGTTTGTAGGCACATGTAACCTGGTTGGATTGATAAGACTATTAAAAATACTCACAAATATTCCAGGAGTCCCACTGGCATATACCCAAAAGAAAGGAAATCAGTATATCGAAGAGATATCTGCACTCCTATGTTGCAGCACTGTTTACAATAGCTAATAATTGGAAGCAAGCTAAGTGTCCATCAACAGATGAATGGATAAAGAAAATGTGGTACATATACACAGTGGAGCAGTATTCAGCCATAAAGAAAGAATGAGATCTAGTCATTTGCAACAACATGGATGGAAATGGAAATCATTATGTTAAATTAAATAAGCCAGGCACAGAAAGACAAACATCACATGTTCCCACTTATTTGCGGGACCTAAAAATCAAAACAATTGAACTCATGGACATACAGAGTAGAAGGATGGTTACTAGAGGCTGGGAAGGGTAGCAGGGGTATTGGGAGGAGGTGGGGATCATTAATGGGTACAAAAAAATTAAAAAGAATGAATAAGACCTATTATTTGTTAGCAAAATAGGGTGGCCATAGTCAATAACTTCATTGTAATTTTAAAATAATTAAAGAATGTAATTCTTTACATTCACATTAAAGAATGTAATTGGATTACATTCACATTAAAGAATGTAATTGGATTTTTTGTAACTTAGAGGGTAAATGCTTGAGGGTCTGGGTGCCTCATTCCCTATGATGTGCTTATTTCACATTGCGTGCCTGTATCAAAACATCTCATATACCCCATAAATATATACACCTACTATGTACCTACAAAAATTTAGAAAAAAGGGACTCACAAATATGATAATTCTCATGTTTAAATAGCTCAGAAAAATGAATTTCATATTTTAAAACAAATCCTTTGTGTCACTCTTCTTCTTATGTAACATAAATCTAGTTTGCAGTCAATTAGGCCCATTGTTCTATAAAACCACTACTTAATTTCATGAGGCAATAGAAACATGAGGCAACCCCCCACAAACAACTATTTTACCTTACAATTTAAACAAGAAATTCAACACCAAAAGCATCAAAATAAATTATCTACATTAGGTATATCTGAAAGAGAAAAATGTTAAATTAGTCTAGTAGCTAAGTCTGTAAATAGCAGAAATTTGGCATTAACAGGTAAGAATTACAGTTTGCATTGTGATTTTTTATTACAGTGCTTCTGAAATTGTATAATAAATAAAGGTTGGATAATATAAAAACTTACATTTTACATCAGGATTAACAACTAAAAATGAGAAAACAAGGTGGATATGAGTTAGGTAAAGCTTCACAAATTAGTAAAAAGCATCTGTAAGCTAGTGTTGAAACTCTTTCATTCCAAAAAGATTATTGGGGGAAAAAAGTGCCCCAGTGGAGGTTGGATAGCTCTCAGAAGAGATGACGTTATTCTCTGCTTAGATCAACCATGCCTCAGTATGCTATGAAAGTGTGTTGCAGTGGAGAGATAAAGACCCATCACGCACACTGCCATCTGCTCCTGTCCTAGGGAAAAGGGCTCTCCCTGTACTTATCTCTCTGGTTTTCTCTGGAAGGATGTTGATGTCAAGATGTTGCTGCTGTTACTTTCTTCAGTCAGTGTAGGATTCATGATCAGAAATTTAAGCAGGAATACAATTACTTCCAGGACCTCTTCATACATTACAGATTCCCCAGGCTTATTTTAGTTTCAGGAACTCCAAAATATCCCCACCTACTAACCTTCCAAATAGATTCACTTGTTTTTAGGGCAGGTGGAACTCATATAGATTCAACCTTCCAAATAGAATCACTTGTTTCAGGGCAGGTGGAACCCATATAGTATTCCCATCCCATTTTGACTGAGTTTTATCTTCTGTGCAACCCGAACATATATTCTGTAATTTTTTCCATCAAATCTCCACAAGGAATCCAATTCCCAAAGTAGGACCAGGTAGCAAGAGCTATAGAAGCTGTGGGCAACATGTTAAGGGATCAGAAAGAAGGATAAAGCATCCCAGTGGGATTTGTTGAACCCTTTTTGTAAGATTTAACTGGAGCACAAACAAGGACAGTTCTTACCAAGAAGCAATCCCTGTTCTTTAATTTCTAGTGATTTTGAATGCAAGGGGAGTGTGAGGTGAAGTGAGGACGACCATAATCCCTGAGGTCTGTGACTATTACTATTTTCTCTGTCTTCTGAGAATGAAGAAATGAAAATGAACTGACCCTATTTTATAATTTCCGGAAATCCAGCTGAGACAATCCGATGGTGTCTTTGTGCTTTAAATTTTTCTTTTAGTCTTTTACCTAAATCCATTCTTATACTTAAATATAAAGGAGGCAGGATGTAATTTGCTAAATTAAAGTTTTTTTAATGTTTATGACTGCCAACTAAGAAAGTAAAAAAACCTATTATTTTAACCTTGAGAGAGCTCACCTGTAGCAGGTTTTAATGTGCTTTTCCCCATCAGACCTGTTCAGTAAGAGGCTTGTTGGTGATTGGTGTTCAGATTGTGTCCTCATATACTGAAAAGATGCTGCTTCCTCATATTGATGCCCAAGGGCATCTAATGCCTGGAGAGAAACAATCACTGTGACCCATATGTTGTCCACGGTCCAATTTATTAAATATATAAACTCATAAATTATATCTCTTCTTTTTCTATTTCTAATTTTATAAATATAAAAGCCTTCTATATGTCTTATAATTTTTTTGCCTAAAATTATATTTTATCTGAAAAAGATGTATTTTGTTTGATAATAGCAATGCTGAACTTGGTTTACTAACACTTAGGCTAATTTGCATTTATGTTCATTTTTGAGATTTGTTCAATAAATCACTTTTCTTCTACTGTACTTTTCTAGTTTTGTTATCATTGTTATACTAGCCCTATAAAGCAAGCTGGATTGCTGTACTTCTTTTGTCTATTCTCAATAAGTTTTACATAGTATGAAAATTAGCTGTTCCTTAAGGATCGGTAAAATTTGTCTTTAAAACTATATGGCATGGTGTTCTTTGATTAGAAGAAAATTCTGGTAACCAATTCAATTTTTTGAACATTAAGGTTTTGGATTTTCTACTTCTACATAAGGCAGTGTAAGTAATATTTTCCAAATATTTTTTATTTTTCCATAAGTCATTTGGGTACAGGTGGTATTTGGTTACATGGGTAAGTTTTTTAGTGATCTGTGAGATTTTGGTGCACCCATCACCTGAGAAGTATACACTGCGCCTTATTTGTAGTCTTTCATCCCTCGTCCCCATCCCTCTCTTTCCCCCTAGTCCCCAAAGTCCATTGTATCATTCTTATGCCTTTGCATCCTCATATCTTAGCTCCCATATATCAGTGAGAACATAAAATGTTTAGTTTTCCATTCCTGAGTTACCTCAATCAGATTAATAGTTTCCAATTTCATCCAAGTCACTGCAAATGCCGTTAATTCATTTCTTTTTATGGCTGAGTAGTATTCTATTTTATATGCACACACACACACACACACACACACACACACACACACACACACAGTTTCTTGATCCACTCGTTGATTGATGGGCATTTGTGTTGGTTCCACGATTTTGCAATTGCAAACTATGTTGCTGTAAACATGCATATGCAAGTATCTTTTACATATAATGACCTCTTTTCCTCTGGGCAGATACCCAGTAATGGGATTGCTGGATCAAATGGTAGTTCTACTTTTAGTTCTTTAAGGAATCTCCACACTTGTTTTCCATAGTGGCTGTACTAGTTTACATTCACAGCAGTGTAGAAGTGTTCCTTGGTCACCGCATCCATGCCAACATCTACTGTTTTTTGAGTTTTTTATTATAGCCAGTCTTGCAGGAGTAAGGTGGTATCACATTGTGGTTTTGATTTGCAGTTCCCTGATCATTAGTGATGTTGAAGATTTTTTCACGTTTGTTGGCGATTTGTATGTCTTCTTTTGAGACTTGTCTATTCATGTTCTTATCCCACTTTTTGATGGAATTGTGTGTTTTTTCTTACTGATTTGTTTGAGTTTGTTGTAGATTCTGAATATTTGTCCTCTGTCAGATGTATAGATTGTGAAGATTTTCTCCCACTCTGTGGGTTGTCTGTTTACTCTGCTGACTGTTTCTTTTGCCATGCAAAAGCTCTTTAGTTTGATTAAGTCCAAATATTTACCTTTGTTTTTATTGCATTTACTTTTGGGTTTTTGGTCATGAAATCTTTGCATAAGATAATGTCTAGAAGGGTTTTCCAATGTTTTCTTCTAGAATTTTTACAGTTTCAGGTCTTAGATTTAAGTCCTTAATCTATCTTGTGTTGATTTTTTGTATAAGTGATGAGTATCCAGTTTCATTATACTACGTGTGGCTAGCCAATTATCCCAGCACCATTTGTTGAAAAGGGTGTCCTTTCCCCACTTTATGTTTTTGTTTGCTTGGTTGAAGATCAGTTGGCTGTAAGCATTTGGGTTTATTTCTGGGTTCTCTATTCTGTTCCACTGGTCTATGTGCCCATTTTTATACCAGTACCATGCTGTTTTGGTGACTAAGGCCTTATAATGTAGTTTGAAATCAGGTAGTGTGATGGCTTCAGATTTATTCTTTTTGCTTAGTCTTGCTTTGGCTATGTGGACTCTTTTTTGGTTCCATATGAACTTTATAATTTTTTTTTCTAATTCTGTGAAAAATGATGGTGGTATTTTCATGGGAATTGCACTGAATTTGTAGATTGCTTTTGGCAGGATGGTGATTTTCACAATATTGATTCTACCCATCCATGAACATGGGATGTGTTTCATTTGTTTGTGTCATCTATGATTTCTTTCAGCAGTATTTTGTAGTTTTCCTTGTAAAGGTCTTTTGCCTCCTTGGTTACGTATATTCCTAAGTATTTTATTTTATTTTTTGCAGCTATTGTAAAAGGGGCTGAGCTTTTCATCTGATTCTCTGTTTGGTCACTGTTGGTCTATAGAAGGGCTACTGATTTGTGTTCATTAATCTTGTATCCAAAGAGAATTTGCTGAATTCTTTTATCAGTTCAAGGAGCTTTCTGGAGGAGTCTTTACGGTTTTCAAGGTAAACAATCATATAGTCAGCAAACCGTGACAGTTTGACTTCCTCTTTATCAATTTGGATGCCCTTTATTTCTTTCTCTTGTCTGATTGCTCTGGCTAGGACTTCCGGTACTACGTTGAAGAGGGGTGGTGAGAGTGACAGACCAATAACAAGCAGCAAGGTTGAAATGGTAATTTAAAAATTACCAACAAGAAAAAGTCCAGGACCAGATGGATTCACAGCAGAATTCTACTAGACATTCAAAGAAGAATTAGTACCCATCCTTTTGACACTATTCCACAAGGTAAAGAAGGAAGGAACCCTCCCTAATTCATTCTATGAAGCCAGCATCATCCTAATACCCAAACTAGGAAAGGACATAACCAAAAAAGAAAACTACAGACCGAGATCCTTGATGAACATAGATGCTAAAATCCTTAACAAAATACTAGCTAAACGAATACAACAACATATCAATAAGATAATCCACCATGATTAAGTGGGTTTCATATCAGGGATGCAGGGTCAGTTTAACATATGCAAGTCAATAAATGTGATACACCAGATAAACAGAGTTAAAAACAAAAATCACATGATCTCAATAGATGCAGAAAAAGCATATGACAAAATCCAGCATCCCTTTATGATTAAAACTGTCAGCAAAATTGGCATACAAGGGACATACCTTAATGTAAAAAAGGCCATCTATGACAAACCCACAGCCAACATAATATTGAATGGGAAAAAGTTGAAAGCATTCCCTCTGAGAACTGGAATATCTTCAAATCTTTTAAATTTATTGAAATAAGTTTTGCTTATAACATTCTATTGTCATTTAAAAAATCTACATCTTGTTTTTATAACTTTTTGTACCTAATATTCTATATACACATCTTTTCCCCTTTTTTTCTGATCAGTCTATTTTATTAGTATTTTTTGAAAAAGGAACTAAGATTCTATTTTAATAATGTTTATCATTCTTTATTTTTCCAATAACGTTTGCTCTTATATAAATTATATACTATTTTTATTTTAATTTTTGGTCATTGTATATTTCTGAGTTGAATATTTAACTTATTATAAATCTTACTTTTAAAATAAATGTAATTTTAGCTGTAAATTTATTTTCCCCCACCATTTTAGCCATACATTTTAAGTCTGACATTTAGAACTTTCATTATGGTTGATTTCATCTTCAAAGGACAAATTATGAAGAAGTGCATTTTTAGGTTTCCAAATATTTTTGTTACATTTCTGTTGTTAATTTTACATTTATTATCACCTGTGGTAAGAGAATGAATCCTTGTGATACTGATTCTTTGAAAATATGAGGGGTTTTTTTGTTTTGTATATATTCACTTTTTGCAATTGTTATATTGACTTTAATGTATATGCTTTATTTTAGGGAATGTAGGAATCTTTATATATCTGTTTGATCAAGCATGTAAATTTTTTGTAGTTTTTATTTCCAATTTTTGTCAGGATTATCTATTATTTTCTGAGAGCATTTTTCTAATTCCCCCACTAAGAAGTTGAGTTGGTAATCTTTTCAGTGTAATTCTATTTTTTTTCCTATTTCTACATTAAGGTTATATTGTTGTATATACATATTTATGATTGTTACATATTCTTGATAGAGTTTTACCTCTATTATTATGGAGTACTCTTCATACCAATTAGTGCATTTGCCTGATATAAACATGAGTGCAAACATCCAGCTTGTATTTATATTGCCGCATCAACTTATTAAATATTTGCATAGGCTGTGTTCTTCATTCTCATATTCCCAGACTTTCTTTGTGATTGTGTTTTAGCTAGTCTTACAAATAATATATAACTGTATTTTATGGGCTTAAAAATATGAAATACAATACAATATGAAAATGGGAAAATATAATCAATTTTCTCTCAGTGTAAATATTGAGATATTTGGGCTTTCTATTATTTGTGTTTTGTGTTTAGCATCCTGTTACTTAGCTTTTATATTTGTTCTCTCCCTCTGCTAGTTTAATAAAGAGGTGGTATAAGATTGTCAACCCTGGCTCCCACTTTTTTGGCTCATCATCATTTTGCCTTTGCTTGGCAGTCAATTCCTAAATTTCTTTGGCATGTTCATTCAGCATGCAAGTAATGCATACACCAAACTATAATAACTAGATTGCTTTGCAACACACCAGATAAAAAATATTTTATGTTAATGCTGTTTGTAAACTCCCATACATGGCCAGATTTTTTTTTATAATTACTTGAATAATTGTCCCGAATTTCTAAATGTTTTTCTAACTTGTTTTTGAACCAGCAGGAATCCACCAGGAAAACAAAGCACTCTGGTACTTCAACGGAGAATTTAGATAAATACGTGGTTAAATGAACATTGAAGAAGGAAAGCAGCAACAAAGAAGCTCTCAGACGAACAGACAGGACAGAGTCAGGAAAGAACAGAGGTTAGAGTGATTACAATTTACAGATTCAGAGGAGAGACGGTGTGGGAACTTCAACCTCTGAGGAGAAAGTGCCCCCCACAAACCCCACTAAAACTATGGCCCCAGGTTGGGAGTGATGAGGCTGACTCTGGGAACTGCCCAAGTGAAGAGTTGAGGTAACACCAAAAAGAGCAGCAAGCACACAGGTAGGAGGAGCAAGTTTCTTTTGCCCTCTCAACGCTCCCAGTTTCCTCTAGCGCCCCCTATTGGTAGAACCTAAATGGAAGTCATCCGGGCAAAAGGCAAAGGTAATTTGGGGACTTTCAGCTACCACTAAGCATAGAGTGGAAGGATGAGTTTGGAGCAGAAAGACAGTAACTTAGGAATTAGTACAGTATCCCCCTTTGGCAGCTTGGCATTTATAAACACACTTTTATATACATTTAAACATCTAAACAATAACAACTTTATGATTTAGTTAGGTATGATGCAACTAGCCTTTCCACATACTAAGATGTCGCTACCTTTTAATTGACACAAAATCCTAATATTCATTGTATCCACCTCTAGAGGACTCACAGTATGCACTTCTGGCTGATGTTATCATAGACCTTCTATACAGGAGGTGTTTTTCACCATCTACTAATTTCTGGATCATATCACTTTCTGAGGCAGCACTTTAATTTGCTCACTAAGATCATGCCTCTTTCACTCAAATTGCTCTTTGATTACCCGTTACCTTTTCAGTTCCACCAATGACAAAAACATCTCTTTTTAAAAACGAAAACTTTAAGAACCATTACCATGGGCACCACTTTTTTCCTCTTTTGTATTTACCGAATCCTTCTTCTAAGATATTAAGCTTTCTCGTAAGGAAGTGTCTCCCTTTGTCTAGCTTACTAATTTTCTTTTATATCATTTTATTTTTCCAGTGCTCCTATAATGGTACTCTAAAGCTGCTTTGAATTTTCAAACCACTTTAATTGCACTTTGAGTATCTAAGCAAACCTGATCTCCAGATACAGACAGAGCTTTCCAGGTACATGTTTTTAAAATTGCTTTCTTATTCTCTGGGTTTACGGTAATTTCTATTGGTCATTTCCTTCATTAAACAAAATAAGGGATATATCTTCTCGGGAGTTACTTTGACTCATTTTACATGTATATTAATAAAATATTCCATATTTTCCTGTGTAATCTATAATTTGGATATCTTACATTGAAGGGACAACTATGTCATTAAAAAATTCTGAGCCCTCAGTGATGGAGTAGGAGTGGAGCATTCTGAGCCTGTGAGCAAACTGTGTGAATTCAAGGTCAGTATCTCCATAGCTCACTCCAAGAATGCAGAATGGAATTTAGGCCAGCCAGTCTGGTGTTACCCACTGTGGTACCAGAAATTTAAAGGTGCAATGTCACCAGTGCATAAAGATACTCTAATGCCTTGAACTTTAAACTTCCCAACCTTTAAGATTTCTTAAACAACTAAAAACAAAACTATTATTCAATCCAGCAATCCCAATACTGGGTATCTACCTGAAAGAAAATAAATTAATGTATCAAAAAGATTACTGCATTCATGTTTGTCACAGCACTATTCACAATAGCAAAGATATGGTACCAACATGTAAATTGGTGCAGCAGAGAGTGGGACACTGCTATAAGGATACCCAAAAATGTGGAAGTGACTTTGGAATTGGGTAACAGGCAGAGGTTGCAACAGTTTGAATAGCTCAGAAGACAGAATAATGTGGGTGTTTTCATCGGTTCTTACACTGCTAATAAAAACATACCTGAGACTGGGTAATTTATAAAGGAAAGAGGTTTAATGGATCACAGTTCCACATGGCTGGGGAGGCCTCACAATCATGGCAGAAAGTGAAGGAAGAGCAAAGGCACATCTTACGTGGTGGCTGGCAAGAGAGCAAGAGAGTGTGCAGGGGAAACCCCCATGTATAAAACCATCAGATCTCCTGAGACTTACTCACTACCATGAGAACACTATGGGGGAAACTGCCCCATGATTCAATTATCTCCACCTGCCACCATTCTTGACATGTGGGGATTATTACAATTCAAGGTGAGACTTGGGTGGGGACACAGCCAAACCCTATTATTCTTCCCCAGCCCCTCCCAAATCTCATGTCTTCACATTTCAAAACCAATCATGCCTTTCCAACAGTCCCCCAAAGTCTTATTTCAGCATTAATTCAAAGGTCCACGGTCCAAAGTCTCATCTGAGACAAGGTAAATCCCTTCTGCCTATGAGCCTGTAAAATCAAAAGTGAGTTAGTTACTTCCTAGATACAATGGGGGTACAGGCATTGGGTAAATACAACCATTCCAAATGGGAGAAATTGGCCAAAACAAAGGGGCTACAAGCCCCATGCAAGTCCAAACTCTAGCAGGGTATCGGGGAATCTGCCCCTGATAGTCACGTAGGTTCTTTTCTATTTTCCCTAAGCATCAGCTGGGTTGAGAAATAAAGGGACAGAGTACAAAAGAGAGAAATTTTAAAGCTGGGCGTCTGGGGGAGACATCACATGTCGGTAGGTTCTGTGATGCCCCTTGAGCCGTAAAACCAGCAAGTTTTTATTAGTGATTTTCAAAAGAGGAGGGAGTGTATGAATAGGGTGTGGGTCATAGAGATCTCATGCTTTACAAGGTAATAGAATATCACAAGGCGAATGGAGGCAGGGCGAGATCACAGGACCACAGGACCAGGGCGAAATTAAAATTGCTAATGAAGTTTTGGGCATGCATTGTCATTGATAACATCTTATCAGGAGACAGGGTTTGAGAGCAGACAACCGGTCAGACCAAAATTTATTAGGCGGGAATCTCCTCATCCTAATAAGCCTGGGAGTGCTATGGGAGACTGGGGCTTATTTCTTCCCTACAGTTTTGACCATAGAAGATGGCCGCACCCAAGGGGGCCATTTTAGAGGCCTACCCTCAGGGACACATTCTCTTTCTCAGGGATGTTCCTTGCTGAGAAAAAGAATTCAGTGATATTTCTCCCATTTGCTTTTGAAAGAAGAGAAATATGGCTCTGTTCTGCCCGGCTCTCCGGTGGTCAGAGTTTAATGTTATCTCTGTTGTTCCCTGAACATTGCTGTTATCCTGTTCTTTTTTCAAGGTGCCCAGATTTCATATTGTTCAAACACACATGCTCTACAAGCAATTTTTGCAGTTAATGCAATCATCACAGGGTCCTGAGGCGACATACATCCTCCTCAGTTTACGAGATGACAGGATTAAGAGATTAAAGTAAAGACAGGCATAGGAAATCACAAGGGTATTGATTGGGTAAGTGATAAGTGTCCATGAAATCTTCACAATTTATGTTCAGAGATTGCAGTAAAGACAGGCATAAGAAATTACAAAATTATTAATTTTGGAGAACTAATAAATGTCCATGAAATCTTCACAATTTATGTTCTTTTGAGATGGCTTCAGCTGGTCCATCTGTTTGGTGTTCCTGACTTCCCACAACAGCAGGGCAGTCAAATCTTAAAGCTCTGAAATGATTTCCTTTGACTCTATGTCTCATATCCAGGTCACATTGATGCAAGGGGTGGGTTCCCATGGTCTCAGACAGCTCTGACCCTGTGGTTTTGCAGGGTACAGCCCCTCTCCTGGGTGCATTCATGTGCTGGCATTGAGTGTCTGTGGCTTTTCCAGGCACATGGTGCAAGCTCTCTGTGGATCTACCATTCTGGGTTCTGGAGGAACTTCAGTAGGCAGTGCCCCAATGAGGCCTCTGTATTAGGGCTTGAACCCCACATTTCCCTTCCACACTGCCTTAGCAGAGGTTCTCCATGAGGGATCTGCCCCTGCAGCACACCTCTGCCTGGACATCCAGGCATTTCCATACATCCTCTGAAATCTAGGTGGATGTTCTCAAACCTCAGTTCTTGACTTCTGTGCACCCACAGGCTCAACACTACATGTAAGCCACCAAAGCTTGGAGCTTATACCCTCTGAAGCAATAGCTTGAACTCTGTGTATGCCCCTTTTAGCCATGGTTGGGAAGTGGGACACCAAGTCCCAAGACTGAAGAAAGCAGCAAGGCCCTGGGCCTGGCCCAGGAAACTTTTTTTTTCTCCTAGGCCTCTGGGATTATGATGGGAGTGGCTGCCATTAAGACCTCTCACTGCCCTGGAGACATAATCCCCAAATGGTGATTAACATTTGGTTCCTTGTCACTTACGCAAATTTCTGCAGTGGGCTTGAATTTCTCACCAGAAAAATGGGTTTTCCTTTTCTATTGGATTGTCATACTGCAAATTTTCTGAACTTTTATGCTCTCTTTCCCTTTTAAACATAAGTTCCAATTCCAAACCATATCCTTGTGAATACATAAAACTGAATGCTTTTAACAGCACCCACATCACATCTTAAATGCTTTGCTGCTTAGAAATTTCTTCTGCCAGATACCCTAAATCATCACTCTCAAGTTCAGAGTTCCACAGATCTCTAGGGCAGGGGCAAAATGCCACCAGTCTCTTTGATAAAGCATAGCAAGAGTCACGTTTAGTCCAGTCCCCGACAAGTGCCTCATCTCTGACAGCTTGCACCTTGTGCCTGGGAAAGTCACAGACACCCAAAGCCTCCATGAAAACAGCTGAGTTGGAGGGCTGTACCCTGCAAAGCCACAGGGGCAGAGCTTCCTAAGGCCATGGGAGCCCATCTCTTGCATGAGCGTGACCTGGATGTGAGACATGGAGTCAAAGAAAATAATTTTGGAACTTTAAGGTTTAACGACTGCCATATTGGATTTTAGACTTGCATGGGACCTGTAGCCCCTTTGTTTTGGCCCATTTCTCCCATTTGGAATGAGTGTATTTACCCAATCCATGTACCTTCATTGTATCTAGGAAGTATTAATAACTAACTTGCTTTTGATTTTTATAGGCTCATAGGCAGAAGAAACTTGCCTTGTCTTAGATGAGGCTTTGGACTTGGACTTTTGGGTTAGTGCTAGAATAAGCTAAGACTTTGGGGGACTATTGGAAAGGCCAACTGGTTTTGAAATGTGAGGTCATGAGATTTGGAAGGAGCCAAGGGTGAAATGTTATGGTTTGGCTGTGTCCCCACCCAAGTCTCATCATGAATTGTAGTTCCTATAATCCCCTCTGTCGTGGGAGGGACCTGGTGGGAGGTAATTGAATCATGGGGGTGGTTACTCCCATGCTGCTGTTCTCATAATAGTGAGTGAATTCTTACGAGATCTGATTTTTATTTATTTTATGCTATTTTTTTATTTTTGAGACAGTCTGTCTCTCTCTGTCACCCAGGCTGGAGTGCAGTGGTGCAATCTCGGCTCACTGCAACCTCCGCCTCCTGGGTTCAAGCGATTCTTCTGCCTCAGCCTCCCAGGTAGCTGGGACTACAAGCACGTGCCACCATGCCCGGTAATTTTTGTATTTTAGAAGAGATGGGGTTTCACCATATTGGCCAGGCTTGTCTTGAACTCCTGATCTCGCGATCCACCCACCTCGGCCTCCCAAAGTGCTGGGATTACAGGTGTGAGTCACCATGCCAGGCTGATCTGATGGTTTTTTAAAAGGCTTTCCCTGCTTTGCTTGGCAGTTCTTCTGGCCACCGTGTGAAGAAGGATGTGTTTGCTTCCACTTCCGCCATGATTGTAAGTTTCCTGAGGCCTCCTCAGCCATGCTGAACTGTGAGTCAACTAAACCCTGTTTTAAAAATAAATTGCCCAGTCTCAGGTATGTCTTTATTAGCAGCATGAGAACAGACTAATACAACATGTGTCCATCAATAAATGAAAGTATAAAAAAAAGTATTATACATATGTAATGGAATACTATTCAGCCATTAAAAAACTATGAAATTATGTATTTTACAACAAGATGGATGAAACTAGAGATCATTATCTTAAGTGAAACAAGCCAGGCACAGAAAGACAAATATTGCATGTTCTCACTCATAAATGGGTGAAGATTATGGGAGTCAGGCAGCAGGTCGGGATAGCCGCTGAGCTGACCAGTGACTCATGTGGCTGTAATCACTAGGACAACAGCCTTGTATCTGGCTGAAAGGCTGGTGAAGCCACTGAGGAGTGGATGACAGACGTATTGCCTGCTACAACTGCAGCAGAGGTGGGGGGCTCAAAGATGGCAAATGTGATCTACTTTTGAATTTTTAACACACACTAAATTATAAATTTTTCTAATGCAATCTACAATTATTCAGCATTTTCACCTTTCTAGTCAAGTCAAGAGCTTTACCGTGATTTAATTATTCATTGGTATTATTTACATCAACCTGTTACAGCTGCTAAGAGCTTTTATTATTTCATATAAAAAGCTATTTTGTTTACATTCAACAATTATATTTACTATTATTCTTTATCAACTCGTATGCTTCGCATGTACCCTATATACTTTTATTCTGTTTTCATCTTTTTTTCTATCCAATATATTTATTAATAATTCTGTTGAAGACCTAAGGGAGGTAATTTTCCTTAGACTTTGTTTGAAAACATTTTCATTTTTCTCTTTTTCTTGAATTACAGTTTAACTGTGTGTGAAATTGTAGAGTAACAGTTTTCCTAATCCTTTTGAATATTCTCTTTTGGCATCTGTTTTGCTGAGGGGAAGTCCACTATTATTTGTTATTCTTTTGTAGCTATTCTTTTATTCTCTGAAGGTTTTATTATTTTCTTTTCCTCCTTAATGTTCTGTGCTTTCATTATGATATGTCTAGATATTAATTTATTTTTATTCATGTAGCTTGATACTCAGAGTATCTTTTGTTCTGAGAATTCATGTGTTTAGCCATCAGGAAAAAAATTTCAGCAATAATGTCCTATCCTATTTTCATCATTATTTTTACGTCCTTATAAAATAAATAGATATTATATCTGAGTCTAGATTCTATGTGCTTTTTATTCCATTTTCTTAAAAAATAGTCTCTGTTGCATTTTGGGAAAATTATGCATTCCATGTTCTATTTCACATTTTTTCCCATAATGTACTCCATCTAGAATTTATCCTGTTAGTTGAATTTTTTTCATATTTAAGAAGAGTTGGCCGGGCGCGGTGGCTCACGCCTGTAATCCCAGCACTTTGGGAGGCCGAGGTGGGTGGATCACGAGGTCAGCAGATCGAGACCATCCTGGCTAACACAGTGAAACCCCGTCTCTACTAAAAATGCAAAAAATTAGCCGGGCATGGTGGCAGACGCCTGTAGTCCCAGCTACTCGGGAGGCTGAGGCAGGAGAATGGCATGAAACCAGGAGGCAGAGCTTGCAGTGAACCGAGATTGTGCCACTGCACTCCAGCCTGGGCGACAGAGCGAGACTCCGTCTCAAAAAAAAAAAAAAAAAAAACAAGAGTTAGTCCTTATTTCAGGGAATGCGTGTTTTATTTCTAAGCTCTGTAATTGTTATCTTTTGGGATCCATCTGTTATTTTCTAATTATTTTCCGTCTTAATCCCTGGCCATCTAAAATAGTTAGCATATCTTTAAGAAATCTTTTATGCATTTAAACATAAACATAAATATTTATCAATTGTTCATTCCTGAACATGCACAAGGGACATCATCAGAAGTGAATTTATTTTCCAGTTGTTGATATTTTGGGCTGCTTCTCTTGGCAGCTTCTGAAAATAGATTTAAAAACCCAGTTCTCTCTCCATTTCTCTCTGTCTGTCTCTCTCCCTCCCTCTTCTCTCATCTAGAAGCTCAGGGGTTGTCTTGGCCCAGCTCTTTGGGCTTCCTATCCAGACCTGGATCTTACGTAAATGGTTTAGAATTATGTACCTATAGTGAGACTGAGTATATTGGGAATCCCAGCACCCAGAGTGGGTGTCTGGATTCCACATTTGGTTGCAGCGCAGGGCCTGGGTTCTCACAAGTCTTCAGCTAGCTACATAGGGAAGCAGTACAGCACAGTACATTTTTTGGTCTTCATTAGTAAGCAAAGGAAGTCAGTCCCTCCCACCCTCCTCCATACCTTATTTTCAAGGAAGGTGCTAAGCCTCAGTTCCCCATTATTGCATGAAGAACTTTAATATATTTAGTTCCTAAGAGCAAAGCTATCTCCACTCAGGCCAGCTTACAAACAGTCGGCTAACCCGTGGCTTCTGCATCACTCACACATCTGATTTTATGTTTTGTTTCTGATCCACAGAGATGTTTATCTTGCCTTGGGGGCTAATTTTGTCTTTTTCATTTCCTCTCCTTGTGGTTTAATCTGTCACTGCTCTGTGGGGTTTTTTGTTTGTTTGTTTGTTTGTTTTTTCAAAGATGGGGTCCCACTCTGTTGCCCAGGCTGGAATGCAGTAGCATGGTCATAGCTCACTGCAGCCTCAAACTACGGGGCTCAAGCGATCCTCCCACCTCAATCTCTTCAGTTTTTGGGATTACATGTGCAAGCCCCTGTGCCTGTGTTTAAGGCAAAAGTCATTGAGCCACTATCACTGAATATCAGGCTAATATTTTAAAATGTGAAACCATGTATATCTAGAAATAAAGTTGTGATGGCATTGTGGGAATAAAAGTATGAGAACCACAAGTATGAAGCTTATACAACAATTTTTTCCTACTTGAATATTTTCTTTTGATGACTCTGCTGAATCCTCGGAAGAACAAGACGGGATTTTGACAGAAAAAAGATTATCTTAGAATTACCATTTAAAAATCTTTAAATGACTGTAAGTTTGTTTAAAATCAGGTTAAACTCCGCCCCTCATTAAAAAGATGAAAAAGTTTATTATGAAATCTTAAATTTTCAAGATTGAAGAGACATTGGAAAGACTCTATTGCAAATGCCTGTTCAACGTATTTATATTTTACTCAACCTTTATGTTTCTATTTATAGTAAGGCTGCACAATAATTCACAAGACCTCATTGTTGCATAACTTATAATGTTCAAAAATATTTTCTCATATTGATGTTAATTCCACTTTTATGTAAACCTACTTTTTGATTCTAGGGTATTTTTCCCCACTTTGTGGAAGGCAATAAACAACTATGTTTGCCTCCTGCAAGATTCTCGATGGGACATATGAAGACAATTATCCTGTTTGCTTTATTCCTCCTTTTTTCCGGGCTATGGAAACACAGTCATTTCAAAAATTATTTATGGCTATGCACTCATTTATTTGCTCATCTATATATTTCTTTCCTAATATGATTAGTATCCAGGGCAATAGTAAGGCCAGGGAGACCAATATAAGGAGTTGGCTACTATGAGTGCCAAAATTTCAGCCAACTAACAAGGTGTCACCAGGGTGAGTTTCTATCTCTACATACAGAGACTGAGATTTCCTAGAGGAGCTATTCTAGATACACAGTTGATGAGAATTCTTAGTGTGTGGGTAGGAGAATGAACGTAACAAAGCTATGGACTAATTATTTTTGTATATATTTCCTATCTGGATGCTATCTCAAGAATCCTTTTCGAATTGAAGCTATATAGAGAATGTAAAATTTTATGTAGGATTCTTCTTACAGTTTTGTCTACTAGCAGGAACAATGAACACCATTTCATACCCAACCTCCTGTGTACTAACCTTCAACCTCCTTTGGTGGAGACCTTCCCCAATATCACCAACCAAATAAAAACAAAGACAGGCACAGAAAGTTGCAAACACAAAGAGCTGAGATTTTTTGAGAAACTTCCATTGTTCAGTAAGTATCATAATAATTTATGAATCATTAAAATAAAATTGGATTTTGTAGTTTTATAGTTGTTTAGTCATGAATTTTACCAGCTCTTAGTCTTACTATGTAATCATTTTTCATTTTCATTGTCCTTATATCCTTCTCACAAAAATACATCACTTCAAATCAGAGTCACATAAAGTCTTTCATTTAGCATTCATAAAAGTTATATAAGGCACCTAGCTGAAACCTTGTTAGCCACATCTGACCTAAAATAAAACTCAGGATTGAGGAGGCTATATTATTCCTAGAAGCAGACCTATTTAGCAAGTTGTAGCACAATTGAGATGTGAATCTAACATAGCAAGCATCTCAGCTTGCACCTGTGCTGGGTTCCCCCTTTCTCAGTCCTAGCAGCCTAGAGCACTGGTAAGGTAGGTCCATCACGGATCTGTACACAGGAGAGATGGGGACACTTCCTGGAAAAGCATTAATCACATCATAAAGGTAAAGAACACAGGTGGGTACACCTAATGATAGAAAGAAGACCAGAATCATAGGTAAGATGATCACTGAGAACAGCAGGGTGTCTCTCGTTCAGATTGTCCCTTTGGGGCAATGCCTTATGAGGCCATGTGATTTTGCAGACAGGCATTAGGAGGGAGTTACTATTGGAAAATGATGATGCTGCTAATGTGAGTGTTTCTACTCTTCCCAAAGGTGGTAATGAATCCTCCAAAGATGGGTTGGCTACAGGATGTATTCTTTCTGGTGTTAAGACTTTGGCTATAATACTGTAAACTCCGTTTTGTTCCAGACTCTGCCCCATCATGTGGATGTTGAGTCTAACCCCTGTTGAGCTAAAATTTGTAATGTTTTGGGCAGAAAGCTGCTAAGAAGCAGCTTGGGTTTGCAATCAGTACGATCCATAACACTCAGTTCTATTACTGGTTGCATAGTATAGGATAAGTTATTAAATCATTCTGAACTTTGTTTACTTATCTATTAAGTGGAGAAAATAATAGCGACTCCATTGTGATGTTTATGCAAGATAAACGGGGTAACATTTGTGAAGCAGTCAGTAGAACTTGCAGCCTAAAACAATGCAATTGTTTCTTTCACTTTCCCCCAGACCTTTAAAAACTGATTAATGTTGAAAATATGTATATATAAAGCGGTCATAACACCAACATTTAATTAGTTTGTTAAAATCCTACAACTCAAATATGGAAACAATTAATAGAAATTTTTCATATACTCAGGTATTTTCTGTAATGTATTCAATATATATATATATATAAAATTAGAGCCACTATTAAGACCTGCTAGAGAACATTTCTTTATAATTTATCTATATTTGTCACTTTCTGTAGAAATGTAGTCTTTTTGGTCTATTCTTTCCCAATCACTTAGAACTGACATAGGATGAATTATACCCCCTGATTTTTCCACTGTACCCTAGGTAAAAAAATTCTGAATCCAAATCTATTGCTTATGTTTTATATGAGATGAACTATTCTA
Source organism: Homo sapiens (assembly GCF_000001405.40). Lineage (NCBI taxonomy): Eukaryota > Metazoa > Chordata > Mammalia > Primates > Hominidae > Homo > Homo sapiens. Next base: position 144,053,012 of record NC_000007.14, on the reverse strand, counting down.
TATGTTTCCTCTTTCCCTTTTCTTTTAAAGGTTTTAAGCAGAACATGAAGTATACATATTTTAGGGAATGTAATAATTTTTTTCAGATATAGTTAGAAAGTCCTTTCTATATGAAAATACTGCCTGTTTTCTCTTTCTAGCTTCAGAGTAGTGCACACAATAATTCCATAGTGGTTGATAGTTAAATTTAGATCCAGTATTTTTTTTTAAATTCAAATTGCTCTCTTTGGGAGGGGCAGAGCAAGGTTTGTGAATTTCTGCAGGCCAAAAAATGTCCTCACAGTATGGAGATATGAAAACAAAGACCATCACCAGAGGCAGAATGTTTAACCGAGATGAATGGATGAGCAGAATAGTCAGCAACTAGGCTTTTTGAGAACTGAAAAGAAAACAGTGCATTTGGAGAGGGGGTGGGAGGAAAGAGTTCCCCCTTTGCTTCTTTCTTTCATGGAAGAAGAAATATATGAAGTGATAAGAATATATTTTAAAATTGTAAAAATAGAAAAGGTACAGGCAGCAGATAATGTAATAACATCATGGGTCATACAGTTGAATTCACACAATACTACAAGGGTTGAGAGAAAAAAGAGAGAATTCCAAAAGGTACCATACTCAATGTGTTAAAGAAATCATATTATCATATTATGCTGATCATTTAGGACTCAGACTTGTGTTAAAATAAAACAAATTACCTGTCCATGTCATTCTGACCACTTGGGTCCAGGAAAAGTGATTTATGTCACCTGGAATAGCTTCTCTTTGGAATTTTGTTGAGGTTCCTGAAAGTCTTTATCAAGACTTGACATGTTCTTGGTTCTAAGCGGTGGTCTATGATGTTACATCAAGCTGTCAGTTTCCCTTGATGCTTTCTTCCTTTGCAGTATTTTCTTACTACTACAATATTTTATGTAATCACCGTAATGATAAATTGTCACCTACACCCGGCTTTGCGATCTGAATTATGAAAAAGGTAACTATCCCTAATAACATTCTCTCATATTTATTTTAAATGCAAAATCTTTCCAAACTCTTTCTAATTAAATGGTGCAGAATTAAGTGAAATGAAACAAAGATCCTGATATTTCTCTGCCTTTTATATAAAAAAATCTATACAATTAAACTTTGCTTTTTACAGAATTAGATTTGTTAGGGTGATTTAGATGAACTTCCAGTACTAATATCATCATCCTTAGGCTTTAGGTTCCAAACCAGGCATTTTCTATACTCTTAGTTGTTGTTACATTCCCAGTAGAGGGCTGCTTAACCAAGGTCAGTATTTATTCTGTGTGATTACAAGTACTCTCTTATAGTAGCATATGGTATGGGATTACCAGCATATACTTATGGCAAAAAGAGATGGAAATAATAGAGGAATTTAAGAGGAAGCTTGAGAGAACTAAGCCTCAAAAGAACAGAAAGCAGATCCTGGGTAGGGGTGGGACCTGGGAGTAGGAGTTCATGGCACTTTGCACCTCTGCTGCACCACACGGCTCAGCGCCTGTCTGCATGTGCTTTGTGATCTGCATGGTACTCCACGTTTAGGGATAGAATCCAATCAATATACATTCTTGATATCAGAAATCTAAGAGATGAGACTGTAAGGCATTTACACCACTGTTCCTACAAATCTCATTGGGAGCAAATCTTCAACCCTCTAGACTTTCCCTGGCATCCCTCACTTTGATCTCTGTTTCCACAACACTCTTTTCAGGGCACCCTTGACCTCTGCGTTCCTCAGGCTATAGATCAAGGGGTTCAGCATCGGGTTGAAAAGGCTGTAAAACAGGGAAAGGACCTTCTGCTGCTCCTCAGGGTGGCGGGACTTGGGGGCCATGTACATGACAATGGCGCTGCCAAAGAAGAGTCCCACCATGCAAAGGTGGGAGGAGCAGGTGGAGAAGGCCTTTCTGCGGCCCTCCCCAGACTGGATCCTCAAGATGGCCGCCAGGATGCGCGAGTAGGAGACCAGCACCAGGCAGAGCGGCCCCACCAGGATGAACACTGAAGCAGCAAAGATGACCACCTGGTTGAGCCAGGTGTCAGCACAGGCCAACTTGAGGACAGACAGGATTTCACAGAAGAAGTGGTTGATTTCATGGGGCCCACAGAAGGGCAGCCTCAGGATGAGAACCACATGGACCAGGGCCAGAAGGGAACCACATGCCCAAGAAGTGACAGCCAGGACTGTGCACACTCCCCATCTCATGATGACAGAATATTGCAGAGGGTGGCAGATAGCCATGTACCGATCGTAGGACATCATTACCAAGATGAGACACTCAGTGTGAGCAAAAGCCATGTATAAAAAGGTCTGCATTGTGCATGGGACAAAGGAGATTGTTTTTCTCTTGTTCAAGCCAAGGTTTGTCAGCATCTTGGGGACATTGTTGGAAGCATACGAAATATCAATGATGGCCAGGTGTGAGAGAAAGAAGTACATGGGGGTGTGCAGTCTGGAGTCCAGCCAGATGAGCCCCAGGATGGCCCCATTTCCCAGCAGGGTGAAGACGTATAACAGGGAGAAAAGCCCAGAGAGGAGCATCTGAATCCTTAGGCTGAGTGGAAATCCCAGGAGAATGAATTCTGTGACCCATGTCTGATTTTTTGTCATGCCCTTGTGACAGTACCTGCGTTGGACTCTGCTGTGGCAATGAGCTATGTGCTGAGGAGCAAATGCAGATCCGGATTAGTCAGTTAACAGAAGGAGGGGGTTTATGGTGCACACAGGGTGCTGACTCAGTCAGCAAGGTTTTTCGGAGCCATTATGCCAAATCCTTTAATCCAGAGTAAAGCAGAAAATAAATTTGGTTCAGAGAACTAGTGTAAATGCAGACAGGGTGATGTATACTATATCCAGTCCCACAGAATTTTACTTAACTTGGATTGCAAGACCCACATTTTTGCTATCAGAAGGGCAGCCACAGAGTAAGTTGTTTTTCAGAATGGCTAGCCATTTTATTTTAGAGTAAGGATCACAGCCATGTTCTTATGTGTTTTACTTTCTAATTTATTTACTTTGCATATTTTCCCCCACTTTCTCTTCCATATTTGGTTTTCAATTATTTTGTAATTTGTGCAGAGTGCATTGCACATGCAGGTGCTCCAGTAAATGATTAGAGAAAATACGTAAAAGCATGAATTAGGAAATGAGGTTTACAAATGCAATTTCAAAGAGGTTTCCTTCCCTGTGTTTACTAGTTTTAGGGAAAATAAAGCTTGCATTAAATGTTTTACTTCCTGAAGCAACTCAGGAAAATCTGGCTGTTTCCCTTTGCATGCAAGCCAAGAAAGTTTGCCATCACTAATCCAGCAAGCATTCACTGAAGTCATTTCTGATATATGGCCAGGGCAAGTGGTTATCTATGTGAAGAGTTAACAGGATAATATTCTGATTCCTGCCTTCACCCCACCCCTTTGCAGGGCTGCTTCCCTGGTTCTTACCAGGTGCTGTTGCTGGCACAATGCCCACTACACTTGTTGGATGAATTGATGGATGGATGGATGGATGGACGAATGAAAGGCATTACGTTAGGAATAACATTCAAAGAGCATATCCTAGATTTCAATCAAGTCTTCAGACTCTTCTTAAATTTTCTCTGCTTGTCATTCCCCCAACCACATAGCCACAGGGGCTATAGAAAGGGGAAACCAGGATGTTTCATAGAAGTACACAAATGTTAAATGATCAATGCGTCATTCTCAATGTGCAGCTTATGACTCCACCTCTGCAAATGCTAACTCCACCTTTAGCCCAGGAAACTGTCTGCCAATAAATTACCTCTGTATCTCCCATTCAATGTACTGATTTCTGGAGCCCTGCCTTCATCCAGACCCTAGCTTCTCTAAACTACCAGACTTTGCAAAAGACCCTTTACTCACTGTGGTATCAGGCCTGGTCTTGTCTCAGAAATATAATTCTATTTAGAGAAATTGTGCAGAGATCACAGGAGCTTTTGAAGGCCAGAGCTGAGGATCTTGCTCCCACCAGCAGCCCCTGAGAGAAGGAATTTCCAGATGCAGGAGTTGTCTCTCTTTTCTTAGCATAGGCTGATGCAGACTGCAGCCTGCTCTCTGGGAACACCAGCAGTATAGGTTTTATGGTGGGGTTATCTCCACTCAAGCCTTCACGGATTGTCCCTGAGGACAAGGTAGAGTCCCTAAGGGAAACAGGATACACAGCAGTCAGACTCTGTGTCTACCAGAACAAACAAAAGTAGTTTATCCTCCTGTCTCCATTTCTCTGGGCCCTGGGGATGGGCATTCAGAAAAAAAAAAGCTGGCAGGTGATGGCTTAATAACCAGCTGGATCTCTACACATAAAACTCTTGTAGTAACAAGAGCATGCATTCTCCAGGGGCCACATTGCAAATTACACCCCGTAAGTATTTGGATTGTGATAAGTTCGTGGATCTCAGTCTTGCCCTGGATGGATTAAATGGAGCTTGGAGGAGGCAGAGCATCATGCTTCTGTCATAAATGCTTGAAAATCTTCTCCTTCTTAGTTAATTCTAACTTGGTATTGATAGATTAGAAAAAAAATACTTCTATCAACCCTCCCACACTGTGGTGAGAAAGATTGAGGCCTTTCCACATAGTACCTGAGATTTGATATAGGGTGTAGGAAATAAGAGAAGACAGAAGCCAGAGTAAGGCTGGCCTTGAAGAGGTGTCATGGGAGAAGCCCTGGTGTTTCAAGGGCAGCAAATGTGTAACTCACACCTTCACCTTTACTATGATATACTCCTAAAGTTCAACAAAACTTTTGATATAATGATGCCTCAGGTGTAAGGGCTGTGTTTATATTCACATAATAAAGCATAGACAGAGGATGCCTTGAAAATGTTTCTGATTATCCCCTTTATGTGTACGTCCCTTATGTGTATATGTATTATGTATATATCTGTGTGTGTGTGTGTGTGTGTGTGTGTGTGTGTGTTTGCTGGTTGGGCAACATTTTAGAGAGAAACATCCAAATCTCGTTTGTCAGAACACACTGGGTTCTTTACTCCAGAGAGATGTAGGTTGTTAATGTGTGAGCTAACAGGGGAGACTCGGAAATATGCCTATCATTTTGGCTCACAGACTATAAAGGTTTCAAAGCAGGTGTATTTCTATGCACAGAATAAAGAAGCTCAATGAATATTTGTCCTGAAATCTCTGGAAGAATAACAAGAAAAGTTTTGTAACTATGGACAGTGGTTAGAAAAAATAGCTGAAGCACTTAACAAAAATAAAGTAAGCTTACTAACTACCTAAAACTGGAGGACTAAATAAAATATTGCCAGGATGCTTTTCAATTATTCATATATTATCTACATATAGATATTTTATATCCACAATTATCCATGTGTAGATACTGAATAATTAATCATTCATTTATTAATTCGCTCATTCAATTTACATTTATTGAGCATCTGCTCTGTGTGGGATCATCCTAGACACTGGAAAAGCAAACACTAGTGAGATACTGTCTCCATCTTCCAAGAGTTTACGGTCTGCCTACAAGTGAGCCATGCAAATAAGCGGTGTAGGACCTGGGATACACGTGTGCACAGTATACTGCAGGCAGCAAGGAAAGGTGGGGTAGATCCTTCTGAAAGTGGATAGGGAAAGGCTTTGCTGTGGATGGAAAGTTTAGACACTCTTCAGGAAGACATGCCAGGCTGGACCTCACCTATTCAATTATGCCTGAAGTGACATCTGAGTCTGGAGATTTAGAAGATTATAAGTTATTTTCCCATTGGTACCGGAGGAATTAGGTCCAATCTAGGAAGGCTTTGACTTTGCATGGAGGAGTTAAGAGATTTCAGTGAAAATTGTAAAACTGAGTAAGAATAATAAAGAAGTAACCACAAGAAAAAAAGACACACCAGGATGCACCTTAAGGTATAAGGAGGGCACAGCAATAAAACCAATAATAATACTGGGAAAGAGGTTCAAAAATGAGCTTCTGTTGGACTTCATTGGAAATAAAGAGTAGAACGATTTGACTAAGATATGTTATTACAAAGATTAATGTTTGGTTAATGTGAAGGATTGTTTAAAAGAATGAGATTGGATACTGTGAGCCCAAGCTATCTGTAGAGTCTGCATTTTCAAGTGACAGTGAGTACCTGAATTGAGATGGTATCCATGGGGACAGGCTGGAGGGAATGGGTATGGAACATGTGAAGGAAATGTAATTATCAGCATTCAGTGACTTGGTGTGTGGTGAGGAAGCCAAGCAGAGCTGGGGTGCTCCCCAGGTTTCTGGTTTGTGTGCTCCCCAGGCTTCTGTTTTGTGTGGCTGTATATAAAGTGTTTTCACTCAATTATATGAGGAATAACTAAGGAAGATATTATTTAAAAGCAAAAGTTAAAAAAAGAATATAATTTTGAACATGATGGATATTTAGGTGGACGAAAAATAAAGAATTAACTAAATAGTTTTGGAGTTTATTAGAGACATCCGGGTCAAAGTACAGATTTAACAGATAGTTAAAGTCATGATAATGGATAAGAGTATTCAAGGAGAGCAAAGCAGTTTTAGCGAGAAAAAAAAGAAGGTCAAGAACAGTATCTTAAGAATAACCAATATTTTAAAGATGGACAGAGAAAGATACATCTCCAAAAGGGAACAAGAAGAAAGATCAGAGAGATAGGTGGGAAACTAAAAAAATAAAAATAAAGAAAATCAACAAGCTATGCTCTATGTTATCCCAGGAGGCAAACTAAGGTACTCATTTTAACCATATCAATAATGCTAACTCTATTTTTTAGAAACAAGAATATTTTTCTGTAAAAAGCTACATTTAAGTTAATACTTATAGTAAACATAAAATAAAATCAAAGTTACTAACAGAAAGCTGTTGCTATCCTTCAAGAAAAATATAGCAGCTTTTTAGCATAATTTCCCAATTTCATTGACCCTTACAAGGGGTACAAGGCTGTTAATCAGAAATACAATACAAATCTGCAGCAACTTCATTGTGAAAATTAAAAGTAATTGTTATTCTATAAATGAAATGAGGGCTCAACTGAAAGAATGTCATTCCAAGGGCAGAGATGGCAGATGACCAAAGATTTCCGAAGTGAGGCTCATCGATAATTCAGAGGCAGAAATCCACTGTGCTCAAAAGAGCTTTTAACAGTACCTTGGGAGCACATCTTATACTCTGGCAACCCATAAACATTATTCTTAATTCCACAACACACTCAGAAAGGCTGATGATTGGGAGACTAATGGAATTTCGCACCTTTTTGCTTCTTCTCCAATTATAGGACAAAAGTCAACACAATCTCATATTTCCTGGGACCACAGTATGGACTTAAAGACCAATAACACCTTCAAATGCAGAAAAAACAGTATTAGATATTGAGTGCATTAGTAAATATAATTCACGAAGATAAATTGTATGTCTGTTAATTTCTTGTTTTCTTTTTAATTTTATTATTATTATACTTTAAGTTTTAGGGTACATGTGCACAACGTGCAGGTTGTTACATATGTACACATGTGCCATGTTGGTGTGCTGCACCCATTAGCTCATCATTTAGCATTAGGTATATCTCCTAATGCTATCCCTCCCCCCTCCCCCCACCCCACAACAGTCTCCGGTGTGTGATGTTCCCCTTCCTGTGTCCATGTGTTCTCATTGTTTAATTCCCACGTATGAGTGAGAACATGCGGTGTTTGGTTTTTTGTCCTTGCGATAGTTTGCTGAGAATGATGGTTTCCAGCTTCATCCATGTCTCTACAAAGGACATGAACTCATCATTTTTTATGGCTGCATAGTATTCCATGGTGTATATGTGCCACATTTTCTTAATCCAGTCTATCATTGTTGGACATTTGGGTTGGTTCCAAGTCTTTGCTATTGTGAATAATGCCGCAATAAACATACGTGTGCATGTGTCTTTATAGCAGCATTACTGGGTATACACCCAAAGGATTATAAATCTCTTGTTTTTTTGAAAACCACTCAATTATCAATCTTTGCCTCTAACTGCTAAGCATTTGGTTGACACCGTAGATAATGAAGAAATGTTTCTGAAAGCATGGCTCATGCGCTACCAGCATAAAAAGAGTACTATACCTTTTATGAGGCATCAAAATGTACCTTGCAAATGCTAAAGCTCAGCATAAATGTAAAGTGCTACTTAAGAAACTTTTAGGCATGCAAAGAATCTTAAAGACGATTTTATCCACAGATGTCATTTTAAAGGTAACTCTGAAGCTAGAGAAGATATGACTTCATTAAGACTAAGGGCAGATTTAAGATGAGAACCCAGGCATCTTGAAGCTAGTGTATTCAAAACGGAATGCATAATTTTCTTTTCCTTGTCTTACCTATCATGATAAGTTGCATCACTGCCACCTGCAAGTTACTCAAATGAAAAACTGAGTCATTCTTGATTCATCTTACTCTCCAAAGTTGAAGTCTGTTCACCTGCTCTTTAATGCCACCACCACAATCTACAGTCTCCTGGGGTGCATGGATAAAAAAAAGAGAGAGTGTTGACCTTCATATTTATAATTTATATATTTCACACTATTTCCAAATTGAATGATGTAAGCAGATACAGATTCACTATACAAAATAAAATTTTATTGTATAACCTTAGATTTGGTTCCCGTTCTGGACCGCACAGCCTGTAGTGTACTATACATAATGTTTTATTATTTACATAATTATCTTATAAGTAACAGAAATAAATGGAACCTTTGTCTTAAAATCATTATTGGTTAAATGAGAACACTTGATCTGTGCCTTTCTTAACCTCTGTGAGGTTTCATTCTGGGCAAACTTGACAAAATCCACTAAACTAATAAAAGTATCCTATTAGTATTTTAAAATGCAAAGTATAGTATATCTGGTAAAATATATATTAGTATATAGTATATGTAGTATAGTATATACTAGTATATAGTATATGTAGTACAGTATATACTAGTATATAGTATATGTAGTACAGTATATACTAGTATATAGTATATGTAGTACAGTATATACTAGTATATAGTATATTATCTCTCCTGCTTAGAAATCTTCAGTGCCCTCTCTTTGAGCAATGTACAATCCAAATTCCCTTTGAATGCTTTAAAAGCACTAAATGATCTGGCCCTCCCTGCTTCTTAAATCATAACTCCGGTTGTTCTCATCTTTGATCAGTGTGTCATTGCCACACCGAACCTAGAACAAATTCTAGGTCACGTTAACCTATTTCCAGCATCAGTGTTTTTACATATGCTGGTCCCTGTGTCAAGAGTTATCACTTTAATTAGCTCTTATCCCTTCCTCCCCCAACCACATTGCTATTATCTAGCAGAGCGGCACATACAGTAAACTAGAATTTGTGTGTCTTTTCATTATTTGCTTCTTTGCCTCTTCTACTAGAAGCGAAGTTCATTATGGGCAAGGACTATGTCTGCTTGTCCATTATACTGAAGTCCCACTAGCTTGTCACAGTAGTTAGATGCTCAATTGACTTGCTGAATAAATAAGTGAAAAAATAAATGATGCTTAGTTTTATTTCATAGTGACTAATTGAAAAACATCAAGATCATTATATGTTAGTCACTTTCTTTACGTTTTTCATGAAATATGCACTTTTATTTAAAAATCTTGTTTTTATGGCCTTAGAAAAGCAGACTGTACTCATATCTTTTTGCTCATGAATTGCCACTGCTATTAAAATGACTTGCAAGAAACTCAGTTGCAGAGCTTCTTCCTCTGCCTACGTTCTATCCTGTTTCTTTCTCCTGATCTCCCTTTGACTTCTTTCTTCTCCATCATTTTCTCCCATCTCCCTTGTCGTTTTCTTTGCATGCTTGCCTTCTCACCTCCCTCTCTTACTTTTATCTTTAACCTTTCCTCATTGTCACTTTTCTTCCATATATTCTCTCGGGTCCTGTCTCCACAGCAGGGTATCTTCTCTCTTCTGAATGTAAATTGTTTCCAGATTTAATTGAGATCATAATTTAATGAAGAATCTCAAACAAGGGATTTGAGGTAATGAGATAACAAATAGCAAAAATAAATGAATGACCCCCACCCAGAATATCAACAACAAAAACTTATCAGCAGCCTCAGATCCCAAAGCTCCGGTGTTAACTAATGTTGTGTACACATGTCCTCTACCTCCCCAGTCTACCTATCCCTAGGAAGGCACAAATGTGAGACCATGCGTAGGCTACCTTAGGCAGAAATCCCACTGACTCAGTGATTCCTTCTCTCACAGGTAGCCTGATTCTTCATTTCAAGAAAAATATAATTTTAATTTGTCCTTCCCTCTTTCTTGACAAATAGCTTATAGATTAATCTTTAATAACATAATTAACCAATAGATCTTTTGCAAAAGTCTAATGCTGAATTCCTCACATTTATACCAACATTCCACATTAAATGTTGGCTGGGCATAAGCCATGTACCCGTATCCAGGAGGGCTCATTTGTGACCCAGTGTTATTGTGGGATAGCAGCCACCACTCCCAAGGCTTTTTAATTTTTAAGTTGTTTCATGTTTTCAAGTCTGGACACATTATTGTCACGGAAAGTAGCAATATAAATGTCTTTTCTGTTCTTAAAAACAACCTGCATAACTGTATAAAAATCTGAAATGCCTGTATATTAATCAAAGATTATTGATTTATCATTGATCAAGAGAGTAAGAGGAGTTTCATATTTTAATAATTAGAATGGGCATAAGTCAAAGAGAATTCAAGAGTGCCTGGAAACTGGAGTTCAAAGCAAGTTTTTTCTTCAGTTTTCTAGATTGATATCTGGTTGCAAATCATAAGATTTAATGATTACTGATATGGAAAGGACCCACGTACAGAATGTTCAATATCCCCAAGGGCTCCAGGCCATAAGATATCTCCTCTTCGTCACTCAGAGGAGTTTAGAGGTTTGAGATTTGGTGTATCTTGCTCAGTTCTCAGTATTTGAACAACTACAGAGGAGTTGGAATTATCCATTACAGTGAATTACTTATCAGTCAGCCTCCCTTTGAATTCACTTGAAATAAATAAAAATTATCTAACTTAAATTTGTATATTCTTCTTAGATGTATTCTTTACATGTTTAGTTGTTAACTGTATCTGAAAGGCTTGAATTGAGTACACATTTATCTCTAGAAAAACAACACCCACCTTCTAAGCTTTACTAGTAACCATAATTGAAACATTGGTTCTATTATTGATATGTGGCAGGAACCTTGTATATATACTCTCATGCAGCATACCCAAAATGAAATGACTTTATATGAATAAGAAAATTAAAAATCCAAGAGCTTAAGTAACCTTAAATGCACATCAAATTCCATGCTCTTAACCACTGCCCTATTCCATGTCTATTATGTTGCCTTTGGGAAGCGTTAGGAGGCACATTAGTGTCACATGGAAAGATGGTCTTGCTGTCTGATTGAGTTTCACGGGCCTTAGTGCTTCTCATGCAGAACAACTTTTAAAATGCTTTTGTCTTTCTTTTATTTTAAAATACCACCTGTGCTCATCATGGAAGAAAATGAAATTCACCCATCAGGCCACACCTCAAAGGTAGATTTGTTGACATTTGGTGGTTTCTTTTTCCCAATTTTCATATATTTTTAGCTTAATAGACCTCACATTATACATAAAATTTCTGATGCTGTTTGCCACTTACCATGATAATCTAGGCAATCTATCAATCAATATAATTTTAACTGATGATTCTCTATGTGGCTTTGGACAAGATAACTAACATCTCCAAATTGTTTTTCCATCTGTAAATTGGGTATAAAGTAATATTGCAGAGTTCTCATTAGAGCTAAGTTGAAAAATAAAGAGGTAGTTATTATAATATTATAAAGTTATTCTTTAAAAAGATTGATTCAATTAATTTTTCCATTTTTAACTAATTTTTTTAAAATTTTATTTTATTTTATTTTATGTTCTGGGATACATGTGCAGAATGTGCAGTTTTGTTATATAGGTAAATATATGCCATGATGGTTTGCTGCAACTATCAACCCATCACCTAGGTATTAAGCCCTGCAGGCATGAGCTATTTATCCTGATGCACTCCCTCCCAACTAATTTTTTTTTTTTTTTTTTTTTGAGACGGAGTCTCGCTCTGTCGCCCAGGCCGGACTGCGGACTGCAGTGGCGCAATCTCGGCTCACTGCAAGCTCCGCTTCCCGGGTTCACGTCATTCTCCTGCCTCAGCCTCCCGAGTAGCTGGGACTACAGGCGCCCGCCACCGCGCCCGGCTAATTTTTTGTATTTTTAGTAGAGACGGGGTTTCACCTTGTTAGCCAGGATGGTCTCGATCTCCTGACCTCATGATCCACCCGCCTCGGCCTCCCAACCAATTTTTTAAACAACTCCCTGCTTTCATGTTTCTCTCAGTGTGCCTGCATATAATTTCTAAACTGTCTTCAACAATTTGATAGTCTAAAACTACAACTTTCTAATTTGGATATGTCTGATTACTAGGAAATTTGAATGTAACATTATTGTATTATTGGGCATTTGCATTTCCTATCCAGAGTGCCTGGCTCAGGACCTGGCCAATGGAAAGCACTCAATAAATGCTTGCTGAATGAATGAAAAAAGTAGTTAATATCAGCAAACCGTGCATATAACAATATTTGTTATTAATTTACATGCACTTTTTATTCATTAGAGTTATGGATTCTGTGTTTTTGTTTGCTACAAATATGTTTCCATTTAATGTTTGGGTTTTTATATGGAGAAACTGTAATTCTTTTAGATTTTTCATTGATTTTAAATTTTACAAATTCATCCAGTGGATTATATGATTATTAATTCCTTTGTTTTCAAATAGAAATAGGTTAAGATATCTAATTGGAATTAGAATTAGAGAAATGAGTTTATGTTTAGGTAGAAAATTCAAGCATGATATAAGTCATTGGCATTGAAAGAATTTTGAAAACTTCCAAACTCCCTTGCATTATTTTAAGTTGACATCTAAAAAATTTACTATAAGTTTAATAGTTTCAAAGGATGACTTTGTTTTAAGAATAAAATTTCTTCTCTTTGTCATAATATTATGTAATTTTTACAAATAATTTATTTTAAAATAATTTTACAAAAAGTTGCAAATATACTACTGACAGCTACTGTATCTCCCTAATTCAGATTCCTGTATTTCCTTCTTTTGTCTGATTGCTCTAGCTAGGACCTTCAGTATTACGTCAAATAACAGTGGTGAAAGAGGGCATCCTTGTCGTGTTCCACATTTTAATGGAAGGGCTTTCAGGTTTTCCTCCATTTGTTGTGATACTAGCTGTGGGTCTGTCATAGATGGCTTTCATTATGTTGAGGTATGTTCCTTCTATCACCAGTTTTTTTAGGGTTTTTTTATCATGAAGGGATGTTGAATTTTATCAAATGTATTTTCAGCATCAACTGCAATAATCATATGGTTTTTGTCCTTCATTCTGTTGATATGATGTATTCCACTGATTGATTTTTGTGTGTTGAACCATCCTTGCATCACAGGGATAAATCCCACTGGTCATGATGAATGATCTTTCTAACATATTGTTAATTTATAAAATGAGAAAGAAGAGAATGTACCTGAGTATGAAAGACTGAGAGGCAGGGAGCATCATGGGGCGTACTCTCCTCCCTGGGTCTTCACATTGGTTATTGATTTCTCTGAGTTCAGTCCCAAGCCTCACTGTCTTCTGCTCTAAGATTTTGCAATCTAAGCCTTATCTTCAATTTTTCCATAGAATAACCTCTAGGCTCCTGCTTAGGGCACGTTTTTGCCTAACCGAGTGGTGGTGGTAAAGAGGACAGAGGATTCAGCTGCTGTAATAATAGATTTTCAGCTTACACCCCTGTTTTCACCCTTTTTGTATTCTCGTTCTCAACTATTGCTAGTCTGAAGTTTCCTGAGGACCCTTGAAAGGAATGCACTGTGCTTCTAAGTGGTTTCTCTTTTGCGTGCTTGTTAGCTGGTAGCTTCTTATCTGATAAGTTGGTTACTACTCCCCTTGTGCCTTTCTGTATTGAAAAAGAAATCTGCAGTTTCTCTGGTCTGCTTCTGTCTTCCCTCTAATTTTATATTTTTCTGTGGATTATACCTTTGCTTTTTTGCCATTTTAGTGGTAGCTGGGGAGGAAAAAGAGATAAGCATGTATGATAAATGTTCTCTGCTTTAAGAGACCACTTATAATCACCTAAAATTGTATATTTCTGTTAACTAATTCTTCACTCTAAGAACTTTCTCTCTAAAACCTCTGACCATCTGATCACCCTATATAAATTAAATTGAATTTATCTAAACAAAATTGCCTAACATATCCAGGAAACTTTTTTGACTATTAGTACCTTGCTGGCTTACTTTTTTCCAGGAAGTATTTTATAAGTGTCAGTATTGTTTACCTTTCAATAATGAGCTGAAGCCTCTTTATAAAATTCCATCAGATATATCTTGGCAATACCTCTACTGACTGGACTGTCTATATTAAATCGAATCCACCCTGGCTTCTTTTTTCAATTACCTTAATCTCAATGCTGCTGAGATGTCAGACAGATGGTAAGTGTAAAAACCAATGTGAATGAAAGCTCAAAAGAATTGGTTACTTCAGCAATAAATGTCAGTCTATTTCATAAATTGGCCTTATAGACCTAAACTTATTTCTCCAAAGTAGCTTAAATTAAATGTTTTTCATCACAAATTGAGTAATTCGTTCAATTGAATGTCCAAACTGGCCTGTATGTGGATAAGCACATTTCCTGGGAGTGAGGGATCATTTGGCACATCCATCAGGTTAATTAAAGACCAGAGGTAGCCTGAGTCTGGGGTTGGGGTTAGTAAGAGTATAGATATGCTTTTCATATCTATATTGAGGATTTGATCTATAGCACACCTCCTCTAGTTGCTAGTCAACAAGACAGAGCTGAGAGGCCCAAAGTCTAGACTCAAATATAAAACTAATGAGAAAGGCCTGATCTATAAGAGACATATTAAGGCCTTCTGGAGTACTCTCCATCACTTCCTCCCTCCCTCAGTGGCTGTGAATGAATCTAGAGAGATTCTAAGTTGAAAGGAATGTGCACTTCTGAGCCTTCCCAGGGAAATCATCTTCTGGATCTCAGAAGTTTCCATGCCTTGCTCCCCGGGAGCTCCTGCTGTCTCAGTGTAGGAAGAACCAATGGCCCAGGAGCCATGTGGAGAATTCATTAAAAAGACACAGCTGGAAAGTTGTCTCAGGCATCTTGGTAAAGATAAAAAAAAAAACTTTATAATTGATCTCATAGGAATAGAAACTATTTTAGGTTTTACAAAGTAAGTGTCAGAAAAAAATATCCTTATGGGGTTCATTAAAACTTTACCACAATTAATTACAGCAGCAGCACTCTTCAGGCAACTGCTCCAGAGACCACAGGCATTTGGCCTTTGGGAACAAGTCCTGGTTACACAGCTGTGGGGCACCAGCATTGGTGTTTAAGTGGAGTGAGGAGACACTCTCCTTGGAGACTGGAGATCCAAACATCTTATCAATAGATTGGGCTTTTTTCTAATTCACACATGTAGACAAAAATAATAGACCAAATATCCTACAATATTCTAGGCACAGTGCTAAGTCCTTTATAGGCAGTTTCACCAATCCTCAAAAAAATGTTTAAAAGTGAATATTTATTACCTCCCTGTTCATAAAATAAGAGACAAGTTCATCGAAGCTAAAGAACTCTTCCAAGGTCATATAAGTGACAGCCCCAGAAATTAAAACTCATTCTAAAGTCTTTTCCACTTTTCTGCTGATGGAGAGTTTAGCATGAAGGTGCATGTGCCATCTCTAGACCTACACATAGACCCTAGTTCCACCATCCAAACAAATGCCTTGAATATTCTTTCCCTGGAAACAGCAAGGAAGACAAAAACAGGGCAACATTAACTGAAGACATAAGAGTAAAGGATATGAGTTAGAACTTCTTCAAGTTAATACGGTTCTGATTTTAACATATGCTGCTAGCTTATATCTTTCCCAGTTGTTTTTAACCCCAAGTCTAACCACCCCCTTGACACACACTCAATTCAGGCACCTTTATTGAAATGCTAGTACAAGAGAATCTTTCTTGATAGATACTAAATTGATGGCAACATATTCAACTCTTTCAATTCTTCTATAAGCTTTAACTAAAGTCTATGGCATGGGAATGCTTGAAGTTAATAAACTACAATGTTTGTCTAGGTCCTCCAAGCAGCAAATGCCAAGATAGACTAGATGTCCAAAAGATTTGTTGTAAAAACATCATGAGGAAAAATGAGCAGGAATCCAGAGAAGTTTGGAAGAGCCATTGAATGCAGCTGTGATTCTTGTGAAAGAGAAATAAAAGGAAGTGAGCAAAGCAAATGAAACACCAAGGGTCATAGCAGGAAAACAATGACACAAGTTACGCCATTTGAGAAAAGTTTAATAAAAGGACTATTTACAAAGGTATGAGAGGAATATGGGAAAACCACAAGCAAGGGTGCAAGATACCAGGATAGTGCAGGATTCTGAGCTTGTAATAAAACTCCTATACAACCTCTAGGCCTAAATGAGAAGAGAGGATGGCTGTTATTAGAACCTGGAGACAAGGATGACTATGTAGAAGGGTTGGCTAAATAGGAACTTGAATCAGAGTCAGTTGGTTCAGTCCATATTTACCCTGCAGGAAGTGAATAAATTCTTGACCTCACAGTTCTCCCTCTTTCCTGTTTCTCTTGTCTTTGCTTCCAATAAGCCAGACTTAGGAAGCCAGAGGGCTGCAGAGCCGTAGTTTTTACAGATCAGTCTTACAGGGCAGAGAGCAAGGTAAAGATGGAGGGTGGATATGGAGAAAAGAATGCCAACTAATAAATGTAAAAAGAATTGAAAGAATTATGAAATGACTACCTTGGAGCCAACTTAATAATTTATTCAAGCAAACAGTGGATGCTAAAATAATTGACTGAAAATATCTTAGGAGATAGGATTTTTACCGGAAACAGATCCCAATCCAGACCACAAGAGAGGGTTTTTGGATCTCATGCAAGAAAGAATTCAGGAAAAGTCCATAAAATGAAAGCAAGTTTATTAGGACAGTAAAGGAATAAAGAATGGCTACTCCTTAGACAAAGCTGCCCCGAGGGCTGCTGGTTGCCCATTTTTGTGTTTCTTTCTTAATTATATTCTAAACAAGGGGTGGATCATTCATGCCTCCCCTTTTTAGACCAAATAGGGTAACTTCCTGACGTTGCTATGGCTTTTGTAAACTGTCATGGTGCTGGTGGGAGTGTAGTAGTGAGGATGACCAGAGGTGGTAGCCATCTTGGTTTTGGTGGGTTTTAGCTTGTTAATTTACTGCAACCTGTTTTATAAGCAAGGTCTTTATGACCTGTATCTTATGCTGACCTTCTGTCTTATCCTGTGACTAAGAATGCCTTCACCTCCTGGGAATGCAGCCCAGTAGGTCTCAGCCTTATTTTACACAGCCCCTATTCAAGATAGAGTTTCTCTGGTTTAAACACCTCTGACAGGATCTTCAGGTAGTCTCCCAGATTCATGCTGTAGAGTACTTATGAATTCCCAAAGGAGAAGATACCCTTACAATGAAGAAATGGTGGAAAACACTTAAACAAATCACCAAATAGCATTATCAATAATGGGGCACACTGACATCATATGTCTCCTGATGTGATGCACTGAGAAGCATACAACATGTCTATGTAGAATTACTTCCAAAAAAGCTTTATCTGAATCTGGATATGAGGATTCCAAATTTCAGGACCTTCTACAAAACAAGTAGACTGCACTCTTCAAAGAATCCCAATGACATGAAAGACAAAGAGTAAGAGAATGGTTTGAGATAAAATTAGACTAAACAGGTAAGAAACTAAATGCTCTGAAACAATCTTTGATTAGATCCTGAATTGAATAACAAGATAGAAACCCAAAGAGGCATTTTTAGATAGTGTTATCATATTAATGTTAAACTCATGAGTGTGATAATGATATTGTATTTAATATTTGTTCTTAGAAAATACTTGCTAAATTATTCCGTGGTATATAGGGGTGTGTGTGTGTGCATGTACGTGTACATATATTCTATTAAGATTTACTCACAATGTCTAAAACGTACTTTTAAGTGATTCAGCATATATATAATATATATATCCACTGATGTATTTATATCTTATATCTACATCTATATCTGTATCAAGAGGAAGCAATATAAATGGATAATAAATATATAGAAAATGTCAAAATATTAACAATTAAGAATTAGTTAATGTAGAAGGAGATATGGGTGTTCATTATATTATTCTATTAAAATTCTATATATTTAAAAATTTCACAATAGAAAGGAAAAAAAATTGAATTAATCTACTCATAATAAAACTTCCATCAAACTAGGAATAAGCAGCAACCCCTTCACATGGTGAAAGTGAAAGACTTAATAATTTCCCATTAAGAATGACCTTTGGGGCTTGCTAGCAATCCTTGTTAAGCCCACAGCAGTCTTTAATCTGGGGTTATTCTTATTACCACCATTGAATCCAACTATTGATGCCATTGTTTATTGCCACTTTCCAGGACTCTATTCAATGGCCATATGTTAAGAGGTGTTTCACTCTAGCTGATGGGGACATGAACTCTTCCTGGCCTGGTGTGAGCTCTGAGAATAACTGTTCCCTGTTTGTTTCTGATGGTTTTTCCCCAGCCACATTTGTTTTCTTATAGAGATGGGCTGATCAGTATTCAGCCACAGGTTTGAGGAGAACTCTCTGAAGATATCTGGAGTTCTCTCTCTCTCTGTCTCTCTGTCAAAGTTCTCTCTCTCTCTCTCTCTCTCTGTCTGTCTCTCTCTATCTCTAACTCGATCTCTCTGAGATGTCTTTCTCCTCTGGTACCTTGCCATGTTAATACTAATCAGCTTAGCATTTAGGAAGTTGAACTGTTTCTCCTGAACTTCATGAGACCACAGGGTGAGTTCTCTCTACCTCTCTCTACGCAGTAAGCTAAAGCAATTACTGAATTTGGCTTGGAATGTTTCTTGGAAGATCATCCAGGGAGCTGGCTTGGATCAGAAAGTAGAAGAGATGGACTAAATATGGAGCCATGCCGCAAGTGTCATTTGCATGAAAAGGATTATCTTTGTAGAAAAGGCTAAAAGAAGATATTCTTTATTGTTAAAAACAACAACAACAACAACAAAACCTGAAGTTGCACACTCTCCCTGGCTGTGAGAAAGTAAAGCTCAAACACACTGAAAACCCTGGATCATAAGGAAATGTTCTGTTGGTTTTGGCTCTTCCATCATACAAATCCCTGGAAACATGCTTGTCTGGGGAATAAAGTCATCTGCTTTAAAAATAAAGAAAACCAGAATAATGTAATTCTTGTTATTTACAGGGATTATGTTCTATACAATCACCTCAGCTATTGCTCTGAGGGGAATTAACAAAACCTCAGCTATTGCTCCTAGGGGAAATAAATACAGGGTTACAGTCCTGCAAACCTTTCACAGCAGCATTTCATCAACTTAAATACAATTTGCATTCACATTATATGAGTTCCTTTGCCAATATCCTTGTAAAACAAGCTGGTTTCATCAGTGTTGAAAAACAACTCGTCCATGTAATCCTTTTTCTGTATAACACTTAGCCTTTATTTTAAAAATTCTTCTCCAGCTTTCTTACCTGCAGAACCTATCTTTCCTGCAAGTTTAACATTTTCCATGCTGCATTTCCTTTGGTAACATGTGACCCAGCCAGCACTAGCTGAGAAGGGTTTAAGATTTTCTTGATCTTAGATAATATGATCATAAATTTCTTTGGCTTTCAACCTCACAATAGTGCTGCCCACTGTGGTTTTGCTGTTGTGACTGTTATTTGTTTTCTTTTTATTAGCTGTTATTTTATGCATGCACACATTTAGTCACTCATCTCTGCCATAGCTTCATAGCACACTATAGTTGCTACTTTAGCACTTTCTTGAGTAGTCTCACATACAGATTGGTAAATTTTCTCTTTTTTTTTTTTCTGGAAGTACTGTATTTTTCACTTGTTAACATTAAATCGGTACCAAAGGTTATCTAACACATTTATTTTCTCTGTAAAGTCACATTACAGCTTTCTTGTGCTTAGGAACACTGTATAACACTTCAATATTACACTTGAGGGCCATTTTAAACAGTAAAATTATCAACAAAAAGCACAAGAACATGGAAAATGTGGCACCGGGGTAGCCTGCAGAAAGAACGCTAGTTTACAGTTTGAGAGCTGAACCAAGAAGACAGAGCGTTGTCCTGTTTGATCTCAGCCAGAAACATGCACATCTGGAGACTCAAATGTTTGCCACACTGGACACGCCCTTGAATAACCACAAAAGTAGCCTGAGTATTGATTTGGGGCTACAAACACATTTTAGCAAGTAGGCATATTTACAAATACGGAATCTGTAAATAAAGAGAATATCTGCATCTACAAATTATTCTACAAGGAAAAAGCTGGAAAACTTAATGGCTGATTAAAAAAAATCACAAGAGAATTTTGTTTTACAATACAGATGAATGTGGTAGGCAAACACTTCTGAAAGGAAGCCCTTTTCTTTACAAAATAAGAAGAGCTTTCAGAGACTCAAGACTTTGCAGAGACTCAAAAATACTCAAATATCTTGATGTAGTAGAAATAAATACCAACATGGCACGTGTATACATATGTAACTAATCTTCACGTTGTGCACATGTACCCTAAAACTTAAAGTATAATAAAAAAGAAATAAAGTATGATCACACAAATTTTAAAGTAGAAATGAAATTTTGTACAAAAATACTTCAGAAATAAAGTTGAAATTGGAACAGGTATAAGGAGAATAGAGACATTGCTGGAAACACACAAAGGAATATTGAGCATATAAATAATAAAAGCAAGTATACCCAAATTGAAATAGAGAATGAAAATGAATTAGCAATGCTTTTGGAGAAAGATCTTGATCAGAATGGGGAAATGTGAAAGCTGCCGATACCAGGATGAAGTAACCAGTCAAACACACACAAATTGGGGTCAGGAGGGCATGAAGGAAAGGAACTCATGCTTACTTGTCTGAGATACACACACACACACACACACACACACACACACACACACAGTCTAAAGGACTTTAAAAAATAACCCCACGAGAAATTCTTGCATGTTTCTCATATATACACATACTTTTATGATAAGGTTTATCACTAAACATTCTTTAGGATTGCAGCAATTCCGATAAGATGTTCCCTTAACACTTGCCGAGTAATAGCATCTCCACCAATGAACCAATATCTCTGGCTTTGAGCCAATGAATCCAATGAACTCTATTTCTGAGCAGTTTACGTAAACTTCAACCATTGGCAATAAAAGTTTTCCTTTACTCTTCCCTCACTGTATTTGCCATAGTACATCCCAGATTATAATTCTCTTTATTTACTCCCAAATACATTTGTTTTGTTGGGAGATAATCTTCTCTGGTGTCTTTTTTTCTTAAATTGACACATGAAAAATGTGGAAGATAGGTGTAAGAGTGCTGATATGTTCATTTTCTAGAAAATTTAAGTCATAAAGTAAAAGTAGTTTAAGTTATAATTCAAGAATATTCTTCTGAAGTAAAAATTAGACATGAATCTAGATATTGAAAAGGCAAACTATGTCCTTGGGAAATTGACACAGAATGGAAGTATAATGATACATCCTAGTAATGTTACTAAATTTAAAATATAAAGAGAGAATCATGTGGTTAGCTAGGCAAAAGTAAAGCTACTTATAGAGTCAGTCTAGATTTGTACATTTTCATAGCAATATCCAATAGCATAGCTAAAGTTTGTGAAGGAACATTTACAAAAATCCTCCAGGAAAGAAAGTATCACACAAGTTTTTTACCCAGCCAAATGTTTGTACAAATGAAAAGACACAAATAGTATAGAACATAACAGAAACCAAAGAATGTCAGTCCCAGAAAATCAGTGACAGAAGTGGCAGTGAGCATTGAATCTTTTTATTTGTAGGACTGTGATGAAAGTAAATATGAGGACTTAGCTGGCAGGGCAGAATGCAAATGCCAAAAACATGACTTGAAAATATAGAAATAAGTACAAATGACAAAAAATGGAAGAAAAGAAGATAGGAGATTGTGTAATGCTGACTTCCTCATCTTTAATGTCTGAGAGCAAAAGTATTTCACTTAAATCTGGCAAATCAAGTAAAACAGATATAAGTACATTTAATTGATAAGAATAAATACTAAGAATGGTAATATGCTCAACTAAAATCAGATGAGAGAGGAGAGACAGGAAGGCAGGATAAAGAGTATATAGACAAATTCCATTATTGTCCATAACAGGTAATTACATTCATGTGGGAAGTAATTAATTCAATGTAAAGAAACAGAAGCTTAAGGATATTGCACAAAATTAGAGATCTAAAACATAACCTCCAGAATGAAACTTAAATCTTAAGTTAGAATGATCTTAAATCTTCAATGTTAGAATGACACAAAAAATAAAACATACAACACATGTTTTTTAAAGCTACAAATCCACCAAGCTTAACATAAAATCCAATGCTCTATCCTAAAATAAACATTTCAGTTATAAATAGACAAACTCACTTATTAAAGTAACTTAGAGTTTCGATATAAATAACAAAGTTCAATTTTACTCTGTTCACAAGAAACAGAGTTAAAGCAAAGAGATTTATAATATTTAAAAAGAAAAGCATGAGTAGTGGCATACTTTTTCTTTTTTTCTGTTTCTGTTTTTGGAAGTACTACATTGTTGACTTGTTAACATTGAACTCATGGTGTGCCAAAGGTTATTTAACACCTATATTTTCTCTGTAAAAGCACATCACAGCTTTCTTGTACTTAGGGACACTATGCAATACTTTAGTATTACACTTTTAAACAGTAAAATTATGAATTGTAATCTTAATATCAGAGTAAAGCAAGA
Source organism: Homo sapiens (assembly GCF_000001405.40). Taxonomy (NCBI): domain Eukaryota; kingdom Metazoa; phylum Chordata; class Mammalia; order Primates; family Hominidae; genus Homo; species Homo sapiens. The sequence continues at coordinate 144,030,068 of NC_000007.14, read as the reverse complement.
ATTGTAATCTTAATATCAGACAAAAAAGTTAATGTCATATAAGAGCATGTAATAAGACCAAATAATATAATTAACACAGCAGATATTATAGTTATAACTACATAAACTTCAAATGAAATAAAGTCAACCTTTATAAAGCAAAATCTAGAAGTGACTCAAGAGGTAATAGGAACATAGAACTAGCAGGAGTGAGGAATTCAACTGTTTTCACTCTGTATCAGATTATGGGAAAAAACACATAGAGGTCTAAATAGCATAATTAACAAAATAGATATAATTAATACTTCACAGTCTCTGAAACCTGAAAACAGACAATGAACCTTCTTCTTCTTTTCTTTTTTTTTTTTTTTTTTTTTTTTTTTTTTGAGACGAAGTTTTGTTCTTGTTGCCCAGGCTGGAGAACAATGGCGTGATCTCGGCTCACTGCAACCTCTGCCTCCCAGGTTCAAGCAATTCTCCTGCTTCAGCCTCCTGAATAGCTGGGATTACAGGCTCCTGCCACCACGCCAGGCTAATTTTTGTATATTTAGTAGAGACGGGGTTTCACCATGTTGACCAGCCTGGTCTTGAACTTCTGACCCCGGATAATCCACCCACCTCGGTCTCCCAAAGTGCTAGGATTATAGGCGTGAGCCACCGCGCCCGGCCGAACCTTCTTTTTAAATGCCAGTAGAAAACTCATAAGGAAAGGGAAAGAAAGAAAGGAAAGAAAAGAAAGAAAGAAGGAAGGAAGGAAGGAAGGGCCACATATCAAGCCTAAAATAAACCTAATTTCCAAAAGTAAAATGAATGCCTGCATTATTTTCTAAACACAATTCAAAAAAATCAAATTACTAATAAAATAAGAAAATTAAATTTCCAAAATTTAACAAAACATGTAAATACTATCTGAAAAAAGCTTAGTAACAGTGCTTACTAAAGCAACAAACTTGACCATGTTCTTGAATAAGACTGAACATTATAAATATGCCAATTTCCCCTAAGCAATTTAATAATTATAATGCAAACCCAGTGAAAGTTGCAACTGGATTTGTTTTAACTGTAGACAGGATGATGCTGAAATCACATGGAAAAGAAAAAAGAATGAACAGCAGGACACTTCTATAAGAGAAGAGTTATGAGGAATCCTGGTCTTTTGTATTTTCAAACATTATAAAATCAGAGTGATTTGAAGACTGTTACTGGTGCATGGTTAGAGAGACACATCAATGGATCAGAATAAAAAGATTTTAAGTAAAGCACATATTTTCAATATATGTTGAATTATAAAGCACATAATTTTCAATATATGTTGAAATTTTGTTTATGATGATTATGACATCACAAATCAGTAAGGCAAAGTTTGATTACTCAATAAACATACCGAAACCACTAAAAGTGCTAGAAAAATAATAATGTTGGATTTATGGCTTTCCCTTTACGCTGTGTCTCCCAGGAGTCAAGATCCATTCCCAAGACACGGGCAAGCAAGAAAAACTCCTTCACTATATACTCCTGAGAATGTTAAACCATGTCAATGTATAACTTTTAAAGAAAAATTAAATGCAAAAAGCTTCTTTGTTTATTCAGTTTTGAAAAATGTATTTTTCTGATTATACAAAAAATATGTTATAAAAATGTGAGGAATGCAGAACATATCAAAAATAACTGAGACAGAGTAAAGCACAATCCCAATAATGCCAAAAAGCAATAAATGGCAGTTATTACTACACTTCTTTTTATGTTTCTATTTCATTTATTCATTTTATTCCACACTTAAGTCACATGTAATACTTAATAAAGTTGAATGATTTAGTCAGAATCCTTTTTCAGCTGGACTTCATGCCACAATTTCATTCTAACTTTTCACCTACGTCTTTGACCTTAGTGTCTTTGTCATCAGAGCTACTTTGTGAATCATCCAACACAATTTTCCAAAGCACATCATTTTCACTTCCCTTTAAGTTATTTGAAATATAACACCTTTTGAATCAATGTGTGTTCCTTTAGTGGAAATCTTATTTCAAGCCAGAAGTACTCTTTCATAAACCATTAAGATATTTGCCTTTTAAAAAATTATTGATATGTAGTCATAATTTGAAACTGTAACCACTGCTACTTTAAGAACTTGAATTACCAATTCCAAGCTTTGTGCCTTTGAATTACAAAGTCCTTCATTACACTGACCCAATTTAGTGATTAGAGTTTGTGATTTATTCTTTATCTTCTCATATCAAATTGATTTACTCATACCTATTTCACTTAAATTAGTTAATGCCCTTTTACTTTCTCATCTTACTCTTTTGCTTTTTGTTCCTTGAATATCTCCTTTTCTCTCCTTTCCATTGCATTAAATATTCCTTCCTTGCTTCTCTAGCTATCCAAATCCTACACAGCTTTCAAGATTTAACACAAATTACGCTTCTTCTAAAACTGCATTTTTACTCACGGCACGTTTAGCATGTTTTTCTTACTCTTCTGAGTTCTTATAGAAATTTGTGTTCATTTTATTAGTAGTTTTTTACTCATATTGAATAATTCAAATATTTTATCATCACATTTTACTTACTAATATCTTATATCTCCATGTTGGTGGTAAACACAATTCTTTGCATTTCACCTAACAGTTTATTTCACATAATAGGTGCTCAGCCTTACCTAAATCTTGAGAAAGTCCTTGAAGTTTCTAAATCTCAGTTTATTCCTTTGAATAATAGAGAATATTGGACCAGGTGAATGTTCAAGGCCTGTCTCAATACTAACTCTCCAATGCCGATTTAATTCTTGAACACTATTCACATTTCCCACTAGATGGTACTAACACCAAACAAACACTACTTGAGAAAATTGATAGTATTTTTCCCCAGAAGGTCACTGCACTATTTTATTTGTCCTGGACTAATTATTTATCGTGTACATAAGACAAAATACACGTTTTTTTCTGATACTATACAACAGTCTACTGTTGGTATAGCTGAACATAAACTAATAGCTACAGCATGAGATGCATTATTATGTTTCAAGAAAAACGATAATATTTTTGAGTGGCAGAGATGAATAATCAGGATGGGTAGCCTGTTATGTACAACAGTTCTAATTGGAAAAATACATTAGAGACATATACATTCAACCGTGGTACCATCAAACCAATCAAGGAACCAAACATATCTTATTACTTCTAAAAATGTACTTGTATTCTTTTGAGTGTGTGTTTTTTTGTAAGACCACTTAACATGAGATCTGTCCTTTTAACATATTTTAAAGTGCACAATATTGTATTGTATATAGCAGATCTCTATGTCATATTCATCTTGCATAAGTGAAACTTTATGCCCATGTGTTAGGGTTCTCCAAAGAGACAGAACCAATAGGATATGTGTGAGGATAGATAGATAGATGATAGATAGATAGATAGATAGATAGATAGATAGATAGATAGATAGATAGATGATAGATAGATAGATAGATAATTTGAGAGGGGATTTGTTAGGAGAATTGGCTCACACAATTATGGAGGCTGAGGAGTATGGTAACAAGCCATCAAGCTGCAGACTTGCTGGGATGCCAGCACTGTGGCTCAGTCTAAGTCCAAAAACCTCAGAATCAGGGAAGCAGAATGTTTAATCTTTAGTTCAAGTCTGAAGGCCTGAGAACCTGGGGGTCCAGGGGGCGCTGGTGTAAGTGCTGCAGTCTCAGGGTCCCAGGCCAGAGCGCATGGAGTTTTGATGTGGAAGGGCAGGGTGCGGAGAGTGTCCCAGCTCTAGGAAAGAGAGAGAGAGGACAATCCTTTTCTCCCTCTTTATTCTATCAAATTGGCCCTTAGCAGATTGCATGGTGCCTACCCACATTAAAGACAGATCTTCCCCACTCAGTCCACTGACTCGCACACTACTGTCCTCTGGAAACATCCTTAGAGACACACCCAGAAACAGTGCTTTACCCGTTCTCTAGATATTCCATAATCCTGCCTAGTCGATACCTAAAATTAAGCATTTAAGCAACAACTCCCTGTTTCCCTCTTCAGCCCGCCCCTAAAAACCACCACCCTCTTCTCTGTTTCTATGACTTTTACTACTTTAGATACCTTGTAAAGGATGGTATAATTGGTGTATGCATATGTCAAAGCTCAATGAAATGTGTACATTAAATTGCACATTTTGTCTTTAGTTGTACATTGTGTACATTTTCTAAATTGTACATTGCAGAAAAACTCTGATTATCTAACATTTTTAGCTTTATTGAGATATAATATGTAAATTTCACATATCAATTATATCACAATAAAGCTAAATAATTATAGAGAACCACAGAGTTTTTCAATTGGGAAGTTGACTATAAATAATTTAATGTGTAGCCTCAAAAAATATTATTTGGAGTAATGTTTATGAAATTAGCCCCAAATGCCTTATTTAACAAATATTTATAGATGGCTTACTCTGTATACACAAAAAAATAGGATAGTTGTTTGAGGATACACAATGATAAATCATGTATGGATGCTGTTAAAGAAAAAGGAAACAAAAAGGCTTAAAACCATAAAAAAACTTAAAAATGAGAACATTCAGGGGTCCGATATGACCTTCAGTTGAAGAAATCATCACTGATATTCATGGAAATTGGGGTATTTTAGATGAATTTCGGGTTATGGGCTCAATTTTGCTTAGTCGCATAAAAAAGCAAATAGTGGAGGATAGTAGAGGACATTGAATGTCAAACTCAGGTCTTTAGATTTCATTCAGTAGGTAACAGGGAAAACACTGAAGACTTCTTCACACATAGACTCATTATCAGACCTGTGTTCTAGAAAGATATGTCTGCTGGTAGTGAGGCTATTTGATGAGAATGATAGGAAAGAAACAGGGCTGCAGGTTGAAGGGATGTGACATCACGTTCACGTGAGATGATGGTGGCCTGAAGGTGGATGATGGACACGGTGATGGAGGACACACAGCATCAAAAAATGTAGGGAAGATAAATTGAAGTGGAGGGCAAGGAAAATGGGAACAAACAATAAACTGGATACCTTGGAGAAAACTAGAGTCTGTTTTGTTTTTGTGAGTGATGAAGGAATCAAAAAATGATGAGTTTTTAACATCTTGAGTTTGAGAAGCTGACACTCTGGCTTCTCTCCCTCAATAAACCCACCTGCTGCTTTTGTGGCATGCTACATGTTTGCTGATGCCTTAAAAAGCCTCTAGATCTGTTGAGCCCATGTTATGATTGCAGTCTGTCTAAAGCAAACAACTCATAGCTGAGTCTTTGTGGAGTCAGTTAGAAACAGCTTGTGTGACCTTCTGGATGCTTCTCTTAAGGAAATTTTCAAGACATTTAGAATCGTATCAGAAAAATACCTGTACATGGCCCCAGAAAAATGTTTTGTCTTTTTCTCTCTTGTAGGAAGCACAAATCCCCCTTGATTCAGTTCAGCTTAGTTTAACAATGTTACTTGAGCATCAACTATATCCCAGGTGCTATGCTAGGCTCTAGGGACACAGTGATGAATGACACAAGATTCCTGCTTCTTTGAGTTCAGAGAATAGATGATAGGACAGCTGAGTGGCTTGGGTGGGAAGAGGGGTTGCTAGTGAGTAAGGTTCTTGGAGGAGGTGATGCCTAAATAAACTAGAAGAATAAAAAATACGAATAGCTGAAGAGGAAGTGATACTTTAGGCCCAGTGAACAGCCTGAACAAAGACAAGGAGGCCTGAAACAGCAAGTTGTGTTTTGGAAACTACAGGAAGATTGAGAACATCAAGTGCTAGTTGGGAGTATCAGGTGACGGTGCTGAGAGGTACAGGTGATGCTGAGAGGTACAGGCAATGCTGAGAGGTACAGGTGATGATGAGAGGTACAGGCAGTACTGAGAGGTACAGGCGATGATGAGAGGTTCAGGCGATAATGAGAGGTTCAGGCGATGATGAGAGGTACAGGCAATGCTGAGAGGTACAGGCGATGATGAGAGGTACAGGCGATGCTGAGAGGTACAGGTGACGCTGAGAGGTACAGCGATGCTGCGAAGCACAGGACCCTGCCTCTGACTGCAGGTGGTGGAGAGAAACACTGAGGTGTTCTGAAGAGGAGGCCAACAGCATCAGATTAGCATTTTAATCTGCAGGGTGGAGGGGACAGGGAATTATTTTATCTTAAAAACAAGTGATACAGCATTTTTAAACAGGAAAAAAAGTAGAAAATACACTGTAGTGAAGAAGAAGCAAGGTCAGGGTGAAGAGGAAGAGATACAAAAACCCGGCAAGCCATCCACTCCTAGACAAACACCTTTTAAATTTTAGTATATCTAGATTTTAGGATCAAGATCGTTATTGACCATATTGTCTCAGCACACCATGCGGATCTTTCAACGTCTCAGTCAAAGCATGAGTCAAAAGGGGAAACTTCTCAAATGTTAAATATGATTTACACTGAACTATAAGGGCTGCTTTAGCCTGAGCCCTATTGTTACCATGACAACATAACAAAAGGAAAGATTGATGAAGCTGCTCTGATCCAGAAGATCTCTGATAATTTTTAATATCAAGTAAATCATGGCCAGCCTCCTCCTACAAAAGCCATGTTTTACACCAGACATCTTTTTGTTTGTTTGTTTTCTTTTGGAGACAAGATCTCACTTTGTCACCCAGGCTGGAGTGCAGTGCAATTAAATTATATTTAATTCATATTATTAAATATAAATCATTAAATTTATAATATTAAATCTAAATATGTAATTTATATTATTGCTGAGCTAACAATAATATATCATCACTATACGCCACTTTCCATGTCATTAGCTACCTTTTCCAATATAAGAATATGCTACATTTTACTCCATTGAACTATATTTTTTGAAATGCTGTCCCATTCCCTGATTTTTCTGTTATAAACAACATTGCAATGAGCATCCCATTTTTACTTTTACATAACTTCATTTTCTTAGTATAAGTTTCTAATTGGAATTCCTATACTGCAAGTTTTACTTTAACCACATCATTATCAGCCTTATTCATGGGACATGCTACTCTAGTTCTCACTACAAACTTTTACACTCAGTACTTGCTCTGCTCATAAACATTTGCCCAAATACAAATAAAATAATATTTCATTGAGCGCTGACTATATACCAAGCATGGGTCTAAGTACTTTATCTGTATTTAATGGAGTTTTCAAAACAATGCAATGGAATCGGTGTGATTATTAGCTTTGTTTCAATTATGAGGAAACTGAGGCACAGAGAGGGTAAAGTCATCCAAGTTTACACACCAGGAACTAGCTTCAAATCAGAAGTCTAGCCCAGAGACAGGTTTTTGCAGCCACTGCCCTATACTTCCCACAGCTGGCTCCAGCTCATCATTTGGGCTTTGTGTACAATGCTACCTCCTCCTGTCCTTCCCTTGATCATTGTTCCTAAAGCAGTCTATGCTTACCCTGACCTGCCCTGCCCCACTACCCCAAATCTGCTCTCTGACTTTTTCTTTCCCCAAGAGACTGGGTCCTATCATTTACATCTCCCAACTTTTTTTTTGCTGCCTGGTTTCTGGATAGATTCAGCCAACAGAATAAGCATGGGGAGAATTAGAAGGAAATCCTGCTATCTCAGTCTCCCTTTGGAGATAAAAGAACAAAAGGAGACTGAGATAGCAGGATTTCCTTCCAATTCTCCCTGTGCTTTATACTATGTCTCTAGCATAACTGAATCCCTCCAGCTCTTAGAAGAGCTGCCTGTTCTGCCAGCTCTTAGAGATGTTAATGGCTTCCTAATGTTGCTGGTCTCTGGGTGCCTCAGCATCCCTTGTTTGTTCCTGTATCCCAGTTCACATCTCTGTAAGTGGTGCCTTCACTAAAATCTCTTCATTGGAATCATCTGAGATAAACTATGTTTCCTGGCAAGAACCTGACTAATAGAATCAATATATTCTCTTTATTTTCTTCATGCTACTTTTTTATAATCTGAAGTCAACATGTGTATACTGTGTTTCTCTAGCTTCAAGTTTAAAATTCATAAATGGAATTTATGAATTCCATTACTCTGTTTCCTCAGCATGCAATAAATATTTGTCATACTTACTTATCTATGTGTTTATTTATTAAAGGGTCTACATATTAAATTGCCCTCCAGAAAAAAAAAAAAATATATATATATATATATATGTCTGTGTTTCTGTCAAAGAGTGGCCTTAAGTCAAAATATTTTTGTTAGATGCATCCTGAAACAAACAAACAGTCTATAAAATAGACATTGAGTTCCAGGGAGACCAATTCAAAGGTGCCTCTCAAAACACTTACTAATAGCCGCTGATTGAAGGCCATGGCTGGAGCCCAACAATCAGTGTCCTGTATTTTCTCTGATTAAAGTCAACATTTTTCTTTGAAAATTGTTGTTATTTAACAGGCAATCTAGAAATGGAACAAGCAGGCTGGAGGTTAGCACTGGTAAAAAAATTGAATTTTAATTAGAGAACCCACGTTCATCCTCAGGGATTGAATGGCAGTGAATACTAAGGCTTGTCTGGCTGAAGCTTTGGGCAAGAAAAGATCTGAGGAGCAGCAAGACCTCCCGGTAGAAGGGGCTGCATTTTCACCAAGAGGAATTGGAAGATGGGGTGGGCGGGGGAACTGGGGTTTAGCGGAGAGTTTTGATAAGGAGGATGGCTTTGGGAAGAGAAATAAAGACAGAGGGAGAAGACTCAGCACAAGAGTGAGGAAAAGCCATGGAGTCCCCTCCTCGCAAGGGGCCAAGCCCTTGAGGGACTTCCTTTATATGATACACAGCACAGAAAGCCAGCTGGAATGTAACCGCTGACCTTGTGCACTGAGGATCAGTGAGTTAGCCTCTTCACCTGTGGCATCAGAACTGTTTAGTTATGTGAACGAATACAGTCTATTGTTTTAGCCACTTTGAGCTGAATTTTCTGTTACTTATATTGGAAAGGTTCCTAACTGATAATTAATCTGGTACCAGAGATGCGTGAGGCAAGGAGGCCCTAAGAGGTGAGATCGGCTACAATGAGATAGGATGGAGGGTCGTGGGCATGTCTCTTTCCCATGCTGGGACGTTAGTGATCTGCATTACGTGTTTGCAAAACAGCTGGTTAAAATGCCACCTATGCTGTCTTGTGAGTCAGACTATGAAACTAGCTTGATAGATAGGATAGATAGGAAAATAGACTTGATAGGAAAATTTTAGACTATCAGAGTACATTAAGTACTTCTTGTGGTTCCGATAGAAAGAAATGACCTTCGACTGTCAGTGTCTGAAGGCAGAGGGGGATGGCACATAGGTCTCCCTTGTCCAAATGAAGCTTTTTTTTTTTTTGCCTTTAACCAGCAATCCAAACTGTCAAAGACCCCGGTAGTCTTGAGCTGGCATGAAGAAAAAAGCTAAACTCTCTAGTTGTAGCCCAAAGTAACTCCATTCAGGGAACTTCTGAAATACACGTTATTCCTGACACAAAGTTGTTATTCCTGTTATAGAAGGTCATTTATTCACAGACATACAGCCCCGGGGCCAAGTGCAGCTTATTAGTGAGTCCTCATGGGATCATTATTTCTTCTTTTTCAGGGGTAGAAGACAAAGTGTACGTCATTGAAGAGAAACAGGGGAATGAACATTGAAGGCCCATTTCTAGGCCATGCAGAAATTCCCAAACCTAATTTTAGAATCAAGTATTTCACTTTGGTCACTAGCCCAAATTGATGGGACCAAAGAGAATAAAACCCCACTATACATTTGTGGGAGTTTTGACAGAGAAATGTGTGGTAGTATTGACAGAGAAATTCCACGCCAGATTGCTAATAGCCTCTGCTTAACTCAACTTCTAAAGTGTCTGCAGAATGCTAAAAGTGAACTGAGAAGTGGGTTTCTAAAACACCATGGTCCCTTGTAGATCAGCGAGGAAGCACCTTCATTTAAGTGCTCTGGACTGTTTAGTTATGTGATTTTGACTCTGTTAACCTGGAAACTAGCTAAGATGGAATGTGTCAACTGTATGGTTGGTTCACAATGATTTTGAAAAAACAAAACAAAACAAAAAAGGACTCTTGATTGTTAAGTTACATCTGGACTTGGAGTAACAATAAAATAATTATAAATAGTTATTCTAATAGGCATGGCAATTTTTTGGTGTGTTTGGTGATTCTTATAAGGGGCACGTCCCTGTTATGAGAATCCTGCAATCTATGTCCCTGCAGTTCTTATAGGACATACTGGTTCCTATGGATCATGTGGCTTTTAAGTTAGGAAAATCCCTGCACCCTCCAATGTGAATCTCAACCTTTGATCTAAATTGTCACCTATGAAGAGGACAGCCTGTGGGCGGCTATGTGGACCAGTACACAGATTGCTGATGCAAAAGCTTCTGCTGAGAGAAATGCCTGACATTGTCTTACTAAATAGCAGCTGTTCTTATCTGATATCCTTCTGAGTCATTGGTGGCTAATGTGGCCTTCGGGAGTCTTTTGAGTTTGAATACTTAAATAAACCAGTGAAGATGCCCTTGGTGAGCAGAGCATGCTTAGAAAAACAAATTTCCCTGTTGTGTAACTCACATGTAACCATGGGAGACAATGAACAGGAGATCCTCCCAGAAACAAAAAGAGGCAATCAAAGTTTATTTTGTCTGTTTCCAAGTTTAAGACATTTTAAAAGGAAAAAAAAACCAACAATTTTATCTGCACATATGAACAGGACTGCTTGATATTTTATTTTAGACCTGGAGCTTGATGTGATCGATGGGACTCTATGTTATCTCCATTCAGCAGTAGTGTGAGAAGTTGTGAGTGTGTGTGTGTGTGTTTGGTTTTATTCTGTTTTGTTTCTGTTTTTTTAGCATGAGCATTTTAGAAATTCCCCATTCATCTTGGGAAGTAAAATAAATGAGGGTTTTACACAACCAAAATGAAGTAGTATAGTGGGTATGTACTATTTTGAGCCATTCAGCATCAACTGCTCCCTCCTTGATATGGTTTAGCTCTGTGTCCCCACCCAAATCTCATCTTGTAGCTCCCATAATACCCACGTGTTGTGGGAGGGACCCTGTGGGAGATGATTGAATCATGGGGTTGGGTCTTTCTCATGTTGTTCTCATGATAGTGAATGGGTTTCATGAGATCTGATGGTTTTGAAAACGAGAGTTTTTCTGCACAAGCTCTCTCTTTGCCTGCTGCCATCCACGTAAGATGTGACTTGCTCCTCCTTGCCTTCTGCCATGATTGTGAGGCCTCCCCAGCCATGTGGAACTGTGAGTCCAATAAGCCTCTTTCTTTTGTAAATTTCCCATCAGCAGCGTGAAAACGGACTAACACACTCCTGTTGGTAACAGAATCACAATTTTAATTCAGGTATGTACTCTCCTTTGTGTAGCCCATGAGCTTTGGAGGTCGATTCCATTTCTGGTCCCAGGTGTAATCCCTGACTCGCTTAAGCCCATTAGCATGTTTCAGTCTCTTGGGCATAGAGATGGTTTCAGGGGAAGGCATGGACATATGACTAAATTCTAACCCATAACACCTGAGGAGAAATTTTATAAGGGTTTCTAGGAAAGAAATGTCTGTTTGTTTGAAATAAGTGCCAGGAGAGGCATTCTCTTCCTACTAGAAGAAGTCTGGGGTCCCAGAAGATGCTGACAGACATATTATGACCACAAAGAAGTCAGTTCCAAGTGGAACCAAACTACGTGGAAGGCAGAAAGACAGATAAAAGGAAACGGGATGTTGGAGATACAACCGACCTGAGGATCAAGGCTCGCCTAAAATGTGTCCATCCTTTGTTAGGTTACTCAAGACAATACATTCTCCTTACTGTTTAATCCAGCTTGAGTCAAACCTCCACTGCTTGCATCTAAAACATTTCTTAATAATCTGTTTCCTGTTTATACACTAGACTCTTCATCTCATATATGTCATGTTATTTTTTCCCTGACTATGTACTTTAATGATAAAAGCCATAAATCCTTGGACTCTTGGGAGAATGCAAAACAGTTTCCTTGAATTTCCTGTAGATTCTGCCATATGCCATTTTCAGAAATACACTCTTTCCCTTGGTCTTTCCACGCTGTGGCTTCCTCGTGTCCATAGGTATGTGCTGTTGTCATTGCTCTAGCTCATCTTTAACTAAGGTGAAATTTGCCAAGATTCAATACAGAGGTTCAAAGCATCTTCCTATCTTTTTCCAGATCTTTTCTTTCATGAAATCAAATCAAAATAAGTTTTAACAGGACCAGTTTCCTTCCTTATAATTGTTTCATTCAGCCCAGACTATGGCATTAGGCAGTGCCAGTCTTGGGCTTCGGTCTGGTGATCATTCCCAGATTAGAGGGATCTGGTTAGAGAAACCCACTATATACAAGGTAGTAGATTGTTAACATAGGGATCTATTTAAGAAAAAAAAAAACAGTTAATTAAGTTATAGTGGACAAAATAGGAAAGCAGTCCCCAATTTCCCACTCTTGGTTCCTAGGAAGGATGCAGTCTGCTCATACTCTCAGGGTACAGGTGATTAGAGAGAATAAATAACAGCTCTCTTGGCTATGTTTTTGTTTGTTTGTTTGTTTGTTTGTTTGTTTTTTGAGACGGAGTATCGCTCTGTCACCCAGGCTGGAGTGCAATGGCGTGATCTCGGCTCACTGCAACCTCTGCCACCCGGATTCAAGTGATTCTCCTGCCTCAGCCTCCTGAGTAGCTGGGACCATAGGCACCCGCCACCACACCTGGCTAATTTTTTTGTGTTTTTAGTAGCGACGGGGTTTCACCACTTTGGTCAGGCTGGTCCCGAACTCCTGACCGCCCGCCTTGGCCTCCCAAAGTGCTGGGATTGCAGGCGTGAGCCACCGCACCCAGCCTCTTGGCTGTGTTTTAACCATTCTTGGCCCTGACTTTAGATGTCTATTCAAGTGTTGGAACTCAAAACATTATCTGGGCAAGCAGGATAGTTCTCACAGCTTCCCTTCCTGTGACCAGGGCTCAGCTTACTTATACCTATAATAACCCCACGTGCCATGCTGTCACTGTCACCAGAGGTAGGAAGTTACTTTTCATTGGCCCAACTGCTTCTGATTTTCTTAGAGTGTAAAACATTATTGGAAATGAACATATCTCTACATATTTGGGGCAGCAAGGACACATGGAAAGTTCTATGTCTTTTCTTAGAGCAGCATCACAGCCATTGACCGTGTTGCTCATCTTAAGTTTGTTGTACTGACTGTGCTGAGGATTCTCATCAGCTCTCTTTTCCCAGTTTGCGAGACAAGCACAAACTAAATGTTAAGAGCTCCTTTATATAGCTAATTATCAATATACCTGTAAATTTTTGTCTTTCTATGTGTGAGAGGCTTTTTCAGGAGTGTTAATTGGGTATTATTTGCAATCTAAATTTCCAGAGTTGTAATTTTAGATAGATTAGACTAGATATACTGTGTTTGAATATTCACAATCCTTGGATGTTACAACTTCTTCCAAGTGGTTTCCAAACTCAAGCATAAAGGTATTTATTTATATCCCCCAATTTTTCTTCCTAATGGGTACAGAGGTAACTATCCTGTAACTTCCTAAATAAACATAAAAATAAGATTATAATAATAACTCTTAGTCCCAGTTGTTTGTATTCATGTGTAAATATAAAGTATCTACATTATAATTACTTTTAAAATATTTTATTATATTATTATATTTTAATGTGATATGAATTTCTCATTATGAAAATAAACTTTTCTTTCTTTTTTTTAAATTATACTTTAAGTTCTGGGATACATGTGCAGAACATGCAGGTTTGTTACATAGGTATACATGTGCCATGGTGGTTTGCTGCACCCATCAACCCATCATCTAGGTTTTAGGCCCCGCATGCATTAGGTATTTGTCCTAATGCTCTCCCTCCCCTTGCACCCCCACCCCCTGGCAGGCACAGGTATGTGATGTTCCCCTCCCTGTGTCCATGTGTTCTCAATGTTCAACTTCCATTTATAAGTGAGAGCATGTGGTGTTTGGTTTTCTGTTCCTGTGTTAGTTTGCTGAGAATGATGGTTTCCAGCTTCATCCACATCCCTGCAAAGGACAAGAACTCATTCTTTTTTATGGCTGCATAGTATTCCATGGTATATATGTGCCACATTTTCTTTATCAAGCCTATCATTGATGGGCATTTGGGTTGGTTCCAAGGCTTTGCTATTGTAAATAGTGCTGTAATAAACATATGTTTGCATGTGTCTTTATAGTAGAATGATTTATAATCCTTTCGATATATACCCAGTAATGGGATTGCTGGGTCAATGGTATTTCTAGTTCTAGATCCTTGAGGAATCGCCACACTGTCTTTCACAAGGGTTGAACTAATTTACACTCCCACCAACAGTGTAAAAGTGTTCCTATGTCTCCACATCCTCGCCAGCATCTGTTGTTTCCTGACGTTTTAGTGATCACCATTCTAACTGGCGTGAGATGGTATCTCATTGTGGTTTTGATTTGCATTTCTCTAATGACCAGTGTTGATAAGCTTTTTTTCATATGTCTGTTGGCTCCATAAATGTCTTATTTTGAGAAGTGTCTGTTCATATCATTTGCCCACTTTTTGATGGGGTTTTTTTTTTCTTGTAAATTTGTTTATGTTCCTTGTAGATTCTGGATATTAGCCCTTTGTCAGATGGATAGATTGCAAAAGTTTTCTTCCATTCTGTAGGTTGCCTGTTCACTCTGCTGATAGTTTCTTTTGCTGTGCAGAAGCTCTTTAGTTTAATTGGATCCCATTTGTCTGCTTTGGCTTTTGTTGCAATTGCTTTCAGTGTTTTAGTCATGAAGTCTTTGCCCATGCCTATGTCCTGAATGGTATTGCCTAGGTTTTATGCTAGGGTTTTTATGGTTTTAGGTCTTACATGTAAGCCTTTAATCCATCTTGAGATAATTTTGGTATAAGGTGTAAGAAAGGCATCCAGTTTCACTTTTCTGCATATGGCTAGCCAGTTTTCCCAGCACCATTTATGAAATAGAGAGTCCTTTCCCCATTGCTTGCTTTTTTCAGGTTTGTTGAAGTTCAGATGGTTGTAGATGTGTAGGTGTTATTTATGAGGTCTCTGTTCTGTTCCATTTGTCTGTATATCTGTTTTGGTACCAGTACCATGCTGTTTTGGTTACTGTAGACTTGCAGTATAGTTTGAAGTCAGGTAGTGTGATGCCTCCAGCTTTGTTTTTTTGCTTAGGATTGTCTTGGCTATACAGGCTCTTTTTTGGTTCCATATGAAATTTAAAGCAGTTTTTTCTAATTCTGTGAAAAAAGTCAATGGTAGCTTGATGAGAATAGCTTTGAATCTATAAATTACTTTGGGCAGTATGGCCATTTTCACAATATTGATTCTTCCTATCCATGAGCATGGAATTTTTTTCCATTTGGAAAAAAACTTTTCATTTGATTTTTTTAACTTTTATTTTAAGTTCAGGAATACAAATTCAGGTTTGTTACATAGGTAAACTTGTGTTATGGAGGTTTGTTGTGGAGATTATTTCATCACCCACGTATTAAGCCTGGTACCCATTAGTTGTTTTTCCTGATCCTCTTCCTTCTCCCACCCTCCACCCTCTGATAGGCCCCAGTGTGTGTTATTCCCCTCTATGCATTCATGTGTTCTTATCATTTAACTCCCACTTATAAATGAGAACATGTGGTAGTTGGTTTTCTGTTCTTGTGTTACCTTGCTAAGGATAATGGCCTCCAGCTCCATCTATGTTCCCACAAAGGACATGATCTCATTCTTTCTATGGCTAAATAGTATTCCATGGTGTATATATACAACATTTTCTTTATCCAGCCTATCATTGATGGGCATTTAGATTGATTGCCTGTCTTTGCTATTGCGAATAGTGCTGCACTGAACATATGCATGCATGTCTCTTTATAATAGAATGTTTCCACTTAATTTAGAAGTTTTAATCATTTAAAACTACCTTCTCAACTGCTCATACAGTGCTGATGGGAGTGTAAATTGGTACAGCCCACTTTGAAAAACTATTTCACAATATGTTATCAGGCTGGGCATATTCATATCCTGTGATTTAGCATTCCAGTCTTAGTTATATGCCCAACAGAAATACATCTATAGGTTCAGCAAAGATATGTACTAGAATATCCATGCAATGCTATTCCTGATGGTCCCAAACTGGACACTATACAAAAAGAGTGAGAAGGATAAATAAATTATAGTATTTTCTCTTTTTTAAAATTTTATTTTAAGTTTTGGGATACATGTGCAGAGCATGCAGGTTTGTTACGTAGGTAGATGTGTTACATGGTGGTTTGCTGCACCTATCAACCCATCACCTAGGTATTAAGCCCCACATGCCTTAGCTATTTATCCTGATGCTCTCCCTTCCCCTCCCCATCCCCGACAGGCCCTGGTGTGTGATGTTCCCCTCCCTGTGCCCATGTATTCTCCTTGTTCAACTCCCACTTATGAGTGAGAACATGCAGTGTTTGGTTTTCTGTTCCTGTGTTAGTTTGGTAAGGATGATGGCTTCCAGCTTCATCCACGTCCCTGCAAAGGATATGATCTCACTTATTTTTATGGCTGCATAGTATTCCGTAATGCATATTTACCACATTTTCTTTATCCAGTCTATCATTGATGGACATTTGGGTTGATTCCATGTCTTTGCTATTGCGAATAGTGCTGCAACGAACATAAGTGTGCATGCATGTATCTTTATAAAGAAATTATTTATATTCCTTTAGGTATATACCCAGTGATGGGATTGCTGGGTCAAATAGTATTTCTGGTTCTAGATCCTTGAGGAATCACCACAATATCTTCCACAATGGTTGCACTAATTTACATTCCCACCAACAATGTAAAAGCATTCCTATTTGTCCACAGCCTCACGAGCATCTGCTGTTTCTTGACTTTTCAATAATCACCATTCTGACTAATAATAGTATTTTCACACAGTGAAATACTATACTATGATAAGAATGTGTTATCTACAACTACATGGAACAACAGGAAAGATCTCAGAAACATAAAATTGAGTGAAAGAAGCTATACACAGAGAATTGCATATTGTCTAATTCATTTTTTTAACTAAAATATCTGGCAAAATCCACCTCTGCTGTTTGAAGTAGGACAAAAGTTACTCTTAGAATTATGACTGGAAATGCACATGGGGGTGTAGTTTCTGGTGATTCTTTTTCTTCTGATGCAGGTGCTGGTTCCATGGGCTGTGTTCAATTTGTGAAAATGCTTTGAGCTGTAGACTTAGGATATTAGTATTTTTGCTTAAATGAAAACTTCTAAAAAAATTTAAATGATCCTATCTTTTGTGCTTCCTCAGGTTTACTGTCTCTTTCCATCAGTGTTATAGAGGTACTGTTTTTCATATTTGTAGTTGCCTCTTATAAAAATTCATAGTGACATGTATAAAATGAGTTGCATCTGTTAACAGCTATAAAAAAGCAGTGGAAAAATAGTTTGGAAAAGGTCGTTTTTAAAATTTATTTTTGTTTCAGGGAAAAAGCTGTGACAGACTACAAATAGGCCACAATTCTTTTCAGGTGTTTTCATCAAAAAGTGGAG
The DNA here is from genome assembly GCF_000001405.40 of Homo sapiens. Lineage (NCBI taxonomy): Eukaryota > Metazoa > Chordata > Mammalia > Primates > Hominidae > Homo > Homo sapiens. The sequence continues at coordinate 144,012,543 of NC_000007.14, read as the reverse complement.
TCTATTGCTCTACCTCTTGAATATGGGCTTGCTTGGGCCAATAGAATGTGAATGCTGAGTATAGATCTTAAGAGGTTTGTCAAGCTTCTCCTCTCTTAGAGCACTTTGATCTCCATATGACAAGGTCAGGACAGCCTGCTGGAGGATAAGAGACCAGGTGGAGGGAAGACCTCACAGGCATGTTCCCAGTGACCTGCTAGTTGACTGCAGGCAGATGAGCAAGCCCAGACATAATCAGTAGACCTGCCCAGCAAATCTACAGACTTCAAACTACAGACTTAAACTTAATAATTTTAAGCTGCTAAGTTTTGGGGTGGTTTGTTTGCAGCAAAATCTAACTAATGAGAGCTCTTTGCAAAGTGTGCTCTGAATATTTTATCAAGCTGGTCCACATGGACATGAATATACATGCTGCATTGTCTCCATCTTCAAAATACATCTAAAATCAGACCATTTCACCCCATTTCCACAACTACTGTTCATCATATCCACCGCTGTGTGTCACCATGATACCATAATGGACTCATAAATATTCTTTCTTCTCCTGCCCTTGCCTTATGCAAGCCTGTTCTTCACCAAAAGCTAGGGTGATCCTTTTAAAGCAAAAAGATCATATCACCCCACTGCTCTAAACCTACCAATGGTTTCCCATCTCATTCAGAGTAAAACCCAATATTTTCTCACAGTGGCTACAGGTTCAACAGTGTCTGGCCTATTCTTGTCTCTCTTATCTTATCTCCTACCCTGCTGTATTAGTCTGTTTTTACACTGCTATAAAGAACTACCTGACACTGGGTAATTCATTTTAAAAAGGCTTAATTGACTCAGTTCCACATGCCTGGGAAGGCCTCAGGAAACTTACCATCGCGGCAAAAAGGTGAAGAAGAAGCAAGGCACGTCTTACATGGCAGCAGGAGAAAGAGAAAGTGAGGAAGGAACTGCCAAACACTTTTAAAACCATCAGATCTTGTGAAAACTCACTCACTATTATAAGAACAGCATGGAGGAAGCTGCTTCCATGATCCAATCACCTCTCACCAGGTCCCTCCCTCGACAAAATGGGGATTACAATCAAGATGAGATTTTGGTGCAGACACAGAGTGAAACCATATTATTACACCCCTGGAGTCTCCCAAATTTCATGTCCTTTTCACATTTCAAAACACAAGTATGCCTTCCCAACAGTACCCCAAAGTCTTAACTCACTCCAGCATTAACTCAAAAGTCCAAGTCCAAAGTCTCATCTGAGACAAGGCAAGTCCCTTCTGCCAATAAGTCTGTAAAATCAACAACAAGTTAGTTATGTCCAAGATACAATGGGAGTACAGGCATTTGGCAAATGCCCCCATTCCCAATGGGAAAAATTGGCCAAAGCAAAGGGCTATAGGCCCCATGCAAGTCTGAATCCTGGCAGGCCACCCATTAAATCTTAAGGCTCCAAAATGATCTCCTTTGACTCTGTGTCTCATGTCCAGGGCATGCTTATGCAACAGGTGGTCTCCCAAGGCCTTGGGCAGCTCTACCCCAGTGGCTCTGCAGGGTACAGCCCTTGTGGCTGCTTTCATGTGTTGCAGGAAGTCAGGGACCCTGAACGGAGGGACCAGCTGGAGCTGTGGCAGAGGAACATAAATTGTGAAGATTTCATGGGCATTTATCAGTTCCCAAATAACACTCTCATAATTTCTTATGCCTGTCTTACTTTAATCTCTTAATCCTATTATCTTTGTAGCTGAGGATGTACATCACCTCAGAACCACTATTGTACAAATTGATTGTAAAACATGTGTGTTTGAACAATAAGAAATCAGTGCACCTTGGAAAAGAAGAGAATAACAGCGGTTTTCAGGGAGCAAGGGAAGACAATCATAAGGTCTGTCTGCTTGCGGGGTCGGGAAAAATAGGGCCATATTTTTCTTCTTGCAGAGAGCCAATAAACAGACGTGCAAGTAGGGAAGATATCGCTAAATTCTTTTCCTAGCAAGGAATATTAATAATTAATACCTTGGGGAAGGAATGCATTCCTGGGGGGAGGTCTACAAATGGCCCCTCTGCGAGTGTCTGTCTTATGTGGTTGAGATAAGGACTGAAATATGCCCTGATGTACTGCAGTACCCTCAGGCTTATTAGGGTGGGGAAAAAACTCTGCCCTGGTAAATTTCTGGTCAGACCAAACTACTCTTGAACCCTGCTTTCTGTTGTTTAAGATGTTTATCAAGACAACATGTGCACTGCTAAATATAGACCCTTATCAGGAGTTCTGCTTTTGCCCTTGTCCTGTTTCCTCAGAAGTGTGTGATCTTTGTTCTCCTTTTTGCCCTTTGAAGCATGTGATCTTTGTGACCTACTCCCTGTTCTTACACCACCTCCCCTTTTGAAATCCTTAATAAAACTTGCTGGTTTTGCAGCTCAGGTGGGCATCACAGTCCTACTGATATATGATGTCACCCCTGGAGGCCCAGCTGTAAAATTCCTCTCTTTGTACTCTTTCTCTTTATTTCTCAGATGGCTGACACTTATGGAAAATAGAAAGAACCTACGTTGAAATATTGGGGGAGGGTTCCCCCAATAGTCATGGGCTGGCATTGAGTGCTGTGGCTTTTCCAGGTGCACAGTGCAAACTGTGGAGCTACTATTCTGGGGGCTGGAGGATGATGGCCCTTTTCTTACAGCTCCACTCCACATTTTCTCTCTGCATTTGCCCTAGTAGAGGTTCTCCATGAGGGTTCCACCTTTACAGCAGACTTTTGCCTGGACATCCAGGCACTTTCATACATCCTCTTAAATCTAGACAGAGGCTCCCAAAGTTCAAATCTTGTCTTCTGCACACCCGCAGGCCCAACACCATGTGGAAACCAGTAAGGCTTAGGCTTACATCCTCTGAAGCAATAGCCTGAACCATAGGTTGGCCCCATTTAGCCATGGCTGGAGTGACTGGGACACAGGGCTCCATGTCCTAAGGCTGCACAGAGTAGTTGGGCCCTGGACCCGGCCCAGGAAACCATTTATCCCTCCTAAGCCTCTGGGCCTGTGATGGGAGGGGCAACTGTGAAAATTTCTGAGATGCCCTGGAGACATTTTTCCCACTGTTTTTGTGATTAAAATTCATCTCCCTGTTACTTATGCAAATTTCTGCAGCAGGCTTATATTTCTCCCCAGAAAATGCCTGTTTCTTTCCTACCATATAGTCAGGCTGCAAATTTTCCAAACTTTTATCCTCTGCTTCTCTTTTGTATGTAAGTTCAGATTTCAGATCATCACTTTATGAAAGCATATGACTATATGCTTTCAGAAAAAGCCAGGTTGCATCTTGAATGCTTTGCTGCTTAGAAATTTCTTCTGCCAGGTACCAGAAAATTATCTCTCCCAAGTTTAAAGTTCCACAGGTCTCTAGAGCAGGGGCAAAATGCTGCCAATCTCTTTGCTAAAGCATAGGAAGAGTGACCTTTGCTCTAGTTCCCAAGAAATTCCTTATCTCCACCTGAGACCACCTCAGCCTGGACTTCATTGTCTGTATCACTATCAGCATTTTGGTCAAAACCATTCAACAAGTCTCTAGAAAGTTCCAAACTTTTCCACATCTTCCTGTGTTTTTCTGAGCCCTCCAAGCTGTTCCAACCTCTGCCCATTACCCAGTTCCAAAGTTGCTTCCACATTTTTAGGTATCTTTATAGCAGTGCCCCACTCCTGGTATGAATTTTCTGTATTAGTTCATTTTCACACAACTATAAAGAACTACCCAAGACTGGGTAATTTACTTTAAAAACGTTTAATTGACTTACAGTTCCACATGGTTGGGGAGGCCTCAGGAAACTTACAATCATGGCAGGAGGCGAAGGGGAAGGAAGGCACATCTAACATGGCGGCAAGAGAGAGAGAGAGAAAGTGGGAGGGGAACTGCCAAACACTTTTAAAACCATCGGATCTTGTGAGAACTCACTCACTATCATGAGAACAGCATGGGGGAACCACCCCCATGATGCAATCACTTCCCACCAGGTTCCCCTTTTGATATGTGGGGATTACAATCAAGATGAGATTTGGGTAGGGAAACAGAGCCAGACCATATCACCTGCTTACCCTTTTCTCACTGCTCTGGCTGCTCAGTCTCTTCAATGTCCCTCAAACATACTACACAAGACTCCATATCTTCCCTTGCTGTTTCTCTACCTGGAATGTTCTTTGCCAAAGTAGCCATATATCTTACTCTCACAGCTTCTCCAGGTTTTTGCTCAAACATTTCTTCCTCACTTGGTGATTCTGTGACCATCTTATTTAAAATTTCTCATCTCCAGCAGCACTTCCTATTATACTTTCATGCTTTCTTCCTCCCCATCCATAGCACTTATTGCCACCCAAATTGGGATGTGTATTTATTTCCCAGGGTTTTTATAACAAATTACCACAAACTTGGTAGCTTAAAACAACAGAAATATATTGTCTTATAGTTCTGGAGGCCAGGAGTCCAAAATCAAGCTGTCATCAGGGCTCTCTTCCTTTGACAGCTCTAGGGGGGGAGAATCATTACTTATATCTTCCAGCTTCTGGTGGCCCAAGGTATTTCTTGGCTTGTGGATGCAGAACTCCAATCTCTATCTCTACCTTCACATCACCTTCTCTGTTTTCTCTTCTCTCTCATATAAGGAACTTGTCATTGGACATTGAGTCCACTCGGATAATCCAGAATGGTCTCAGTTTGAGGTCCTTAACTTTATTATATTTCAAAGACTCTTTTTTTTTCAAATAAGTTCCCAATCACAAGTTCCAGGTTGAAAGTGTGAAAATATATTTTTGGGAGCCACCATTCAACCCATTACAATATGTATGTATGTTAGATATATATATGTATACACACACACACACACACACACAAAGGTATTATCTGCTATCTGTTTCTGCTCACAAAGGTAACAAGTTTTAATATTTTGCTATTGTATCCCTACACGTACATAATAGATCTTTAATATATATTAGTTAAATGAATGAATAAATATAGTGATTTAAAATATATACTGCATGTGTAATTAATATATATTTATATTTTATTTTGTGGGGTTCCTTATGAGTTTGGATGGTGATAATCAAATCTTCAGGGCATGTTCTCTGGATAAACTACTGAAACTGACTACCAGCCTTTTATGATGGTTACCCCAACAAGATCACCAAATGCCCTGAAACTTCCGGCTTGCTTTGTGTGTCACCTTAGAAATAGCTTGTTTCTATGTGAATTTAACCAGTAATCCACTATACATTATTTTCTCTGTTGAGGCAGATTTCTACATTGGTCTGTGTCCTTACTTTGCTGAGCCTGTGCACTTAGGTATTCCTTCCACAAAGGGGAAGGAGCTCAATGTTCCATCTGTTATTTGAAAAAAAAATTTAATAGAATTCCCCAAGAAACCCTACTTCTACATTCTCCCTTTCCAAGATATTCATGAGAAATAATAAAGAAATAAACTGCCTCTGATAGTTGTAGCCTCCCAGGTTAACTATAACTATAGTATGTGGAGTCAACTAGGTGTGGAATTGTTTTAGACAGGTCCAGAGAGCATAGCCTTCCCAAACAGTTTTCCCATGCAAACCCTAATCTAGTGGCAGCTTGCTTAGATCATGCACTGCCCAAGATATTTAACAATCAATGTCTTTTCCATCATGGTAGTTGATCCTCATAACCATTGCGTAAGAAACACCAAGCAACTATTATTACTCCTGTTTTACACATAAAGACTCAGTGTTTCCAAAAGTATAGATGGTTTGGCCAAGGTCACATGGTGAATATATATCCAGGGCTAAAATTCAAGTTATTGCCAGAGTTTTTTTATCTTTCATTTCCTAATCCCTACTGAACATGTCTTTTCCTTTCTTAATGCACACATTTAATATCCCTATATGACTATGCAATTATATTTTGATTCATTTGAAGTTTTCAGAAAATAATCTCTTTTTTGTGTGTCTAGATTTTAAATAGAAATATATTCATCACAACTTACTTGTTGCATCAAGGGACCAAACTACATTCCAGAAGCAAACATTAAATCCTTTCCATTTTAAGCATTGTTCTCTTTTGCACATTTATTCCCTAAAGCAAGTTGTGCTTGCATTTTATTTTTGTTTCTTTTTTCCTCTGGGACCTATAATTCACATGTTTTCATTTTTATTTTATTACTGTTCTGCAGGTATAGTAATTCATAATTCCAACTATATTCCTTTACAACTAGCTTTCATACTTGGCTTCTAAAGAAGTATGTTTTCTCTCTAGGGAGAGCCCATTCACTAGAGAAAGACCCAGGGTTTGGATTCAGGGAACTGGGACTTTGACCTCTGCTCTCCCACTGTCTGTGGTTGTATGTTATTTACTTCCTTGAACATCTGTTCTGGAAGTTTATAAAATGGAACAAATAATTCTGCCTCACGTTTCTTAATTAAGAAGAAAGAGAAAGCATTCTTGAAAGTGTGGTTTGTTCTTAGCTAAAAGATGTTATTAATGCAAGAAACTCTCCTGTTTAAAACTGTTACAATAAAAGAATTAAATTCCCACTGATGTTGGCCCACTATGTTGAATACAGCTTAAAAATATATCTCCCTTTGCCAATGGCAAAACTATGAACCAAGAGCAAGCATATCTATGTACCTTCTATGGGTGTAAAGCACATTTGATCAATGAGGTTCTAGCGTGTGTGTAGAGGGTGTTAGATATATAGGTAAGGAAAGTTGAGAATCACTATGGCATGGAATGAAAATCTCTGTCAATTCCTGAAACCTGTTACTTATCTCTGAGTTGAGTGTGGAGAAAGTGGAAAACCAAGAGAAGATAAAAGAGAGGGCGGGAAGGGGGGTGCGGGGCGGGAACAAGAGGATATCAAGATCAAAAGAAAAGAGAAGTAATGAGGGCAATTATTGTTTGGCAATTCATATATTTGATGATATTTATTTATCATCTATTTTATGTTCATCCACTAAAGGATACATTGTGGCACCTAGAAGGGAAATATAAAATTCAATAAAAGGCAACTGTGTGAGTTATATCAGAAGACAAAACACAATTGTGTAAGGTACAATTCACTTACAGATAAAAGAAAGCACTCTAACTAGTTTAAGCAGAAAGGGATTTAATACAGGTTAGTAAGTGCTTGCAAAAAGTGTTGCAAAAACTCAGGAAGCAGTCTCTGCCACCAAAATTCACTCCCAGAACATCAAGAATGAGACTGTTGAGGGAGTTGCTACCTCTGTCTTAGAAAGATGGGAAATCAGGAAGCTACCACCTATTTTGTTGGCCCCAGAGCTATTAGTGTATGGCAGATCCAAAAACAGCTAACTCACCCATCACCATCTCTCTTCCTACTTAACTCAGTTATAAATTTACTCACAGTCTTAGAAACCCCATTTGGGGTCACAACCATTGAGAACTGTTTTCTCTAGCTCTCTAGAAGGTGTATGGCCTTAGAGCACTGACCATATGCACAGATGCAGATACCCAAGCGCCTGAGATTGAAGTAGACATGGTGATGTCATATTAACATGGGCAGTGTCCTAACTGAGTCGTTAAAGGAGAAAGGATGGAGGAAGACATACAGGCACCCACTCAGACCTTTCTTTCTAATCAGCTGTAATTGACTAGTCAGATCTGCTGGCCTGGCAATATGCCAGTTTCTTCAGAGCTTCCTTGACCTCTCGGTTTCTTAGGCAATAAATGAAAGGGTTGAGAGAAGGAGTGACAATGGCATAGAAGATGGAAATAATTTTGTTCATGTTGAAGGCATGGATAACTCGAGGTCGAGCATACATGAAAATAATGGCTGAATAGAAAATGGTGACCACCACAAGATGGGAGGCACAAGTGGAGAACGCTTTCTGCTTTCCTGTGGGCATGCATAATATGGTGGCCAGAATGCATCCGTAGGACAGGACAGTAATAAAGAGTGGGAATAGGAAGATGACCAGTGCCAGGATAAAGTCTACCAACTCAGTTATGGACATGTCTGTGCAGGAGAGATTAAGTACTGGAGAGATGTCACAGAAGAAGTGGTTGATGACATTGGGACCACAGAAGCTGAGGCAGGAGATGAAGTAGATCTTCGCCAGGGAGATGCCAAAGCCAATGGCCCAGGAACCAAGAGCGAGGCGGAAGCAGAGCCCATGGCTCATTATGGTTGGGTAGTGGAGTGGGCGACAGATGGCCACATACCGGTCATAGGCCATGGCGGCCAGAAGCACACATTCTGTGCACATGAGAGCAATGAAGAAGTACAGTTGTATCATACAGAGTGTGAAAGAGATGCTGTTGTTCACAGACCAAAAACTAAACAGTAACTTGGGCACAGTCACAGAGATGTACCAGGTCTCCAAGAAGGACAGGTTGGCCAGGAAGAAGTACATAGGCTTGTGCAGTGGCCGATTTTGCAGCACCAATAGGATGATGATCACGTTTTCAGCCACTGTCAGAATATAGGCCACAAGGAATATCAGAAACATGGCTGCCCGCATACTCAAGCTCCCAGGGAATCCCACCAGAATGAACTTGGTGACTCGTGTCTGGTTCTCCAACTCCATATTGGAGACACAGGGCTTAGCTCTCCTGGGGAGGAAAAATCATTTGATCAGACTCCATGGCCCAGCTATATTTTTCCATACTTGTCTTCTCTATCAGTAATAGTTATCATTTATTAATACATATTACAGGTCAGACCATGAACTGGGTACGTGAGGCACACA